>NW_011332694.1:210082-420164 GCF_000001405.40 Homo sapiens | reverse complement strand
GCTTTTGTGAGAAACGCCTTTGTGATGAGTGCATTCATCTCACAGAGTTAAACATCCCTTTTGATTGAGCCGTTTGGAAACAGTCTTTTTGTAGAATCTGCAAAGGTATATTTCTGAGCAGTTTCAGGCTTATGATGGAAAAGGAAATATCTTCATATGAAAACTAGACAGAAGTTTTCTGAGAAACTTCTTTGTGTTCCACACATTCATCTCACAAAGTTGAAACATTCTTTTGATTAAGCAGTTAGGAACCAGTCTTTTAGTAGAATCTGCAAAGGGATATTTGGGAACCCTTTGAAGGCTGTGGAGAAAAAGGAAATATCTTCACATAAAAACTAGACAGAAGCTTTCTGAGAAACTTCTTTGTGATGCGTGCATTCATCTCACAGAGTTAAAGCTTTCTTTGATTGAGCAGTTTGGAAACAGTCTTTTACTAGAATCTGCAAAAGACTATTTCTGAGCAGTTTGGGGCGTATGGTGAAAAAGGGAATATCTTCACATGAAAACTAGACAGAAGCTTTCTGGGAAACTTCTTAGTGATGCGTGCATTCATCTCACAGAGTTGAAACTTTCTTTTTATTGAGCAGTTTGGAAACAGTCTTTTTGTAGAATCTCCAAAGGTATATTTCTGAGCGGTTTGAGGCCCATGGTGAAAAAGAAATATCTTCACATAAAAAGCAGACAGACGCATTCTGAGAGACTTCTTTGTGATGTGTGTATTCATCTAACGGATTTGAACCTTTCTTTTGATTGAGCAGTTTGGAAACAGTCTTTTTGTAAAATCTGCAAAGGGATATTTGTGAGCAGTTTGAGGCCAATGGTGAAAAATGAAATATCTTCACATAAAAACTACAAAGAATATTTCCGAGAAACTTCTTTGTGATGTGTCCATTCATCTCAAAGAGTTGAAATATTCTTTTGATTTAGCACTTTGGAGATAGTCTTCTTGAAGTATCTGCTATGGGGTATTTGTGAGTGCTTTGAGGCCTATGGTGAAAAAGGATATATCATCACATAAAAATTAGAAGGGAGGTTTCTGAGAAACTTGATATGTGCATTCATCTCACAGAGGTAACCATTTATTTTCATTGAGCAGACTGGAAATTCTGTTCTTGTAAAATCTGCAAAGGGATGTTTGTGAGAGTTTTGAGACTTACGGTAAAAAACGAAAAGTCTTCACATAAAAACTAGACAAAAGTTTTCTTAGAAACCGCTTTGTGATGTGTGCATCCATCTCACAGAGTTGAACCTTTCTTTTGTTTCAGCAGTTTAGAAACAGTCTTTTTGTAGAATCTGCAAAGGGATATTTGTGCATGCTTTGCGGTCTATGGTGGAAAAGAAAGTGTCTTTATATAAAAACTATACTGAAGCTTTCAGAGAATCTTCTTTGTGATGTGGGTTTTCGTCTCACAGAGTTGAACCTATCTTTTTGTTGAGCAGTTTGAAAACAGTCTTTATGTAGAATCTGCAAAGGGATATTTCTCTGGGCTTTGAGGCCTATGGTGAAAAAGAAAATATCTTGACATAAAAACTAGACAGAAGGCTTCTGAGAAACGTCTTTGAGAAGTGTTTATTCATCTCACAGAGGTCAACTTTTCTTTTGATTGAGCAGTTTGGAAACAGTCTTTTTGTAGAATATACAAGGTGTTAGTTGTGAGCACTTTTTGGCCTGTGGTGAAAAAGGCAATATCTTCCCATAAAAACTAGACAGAGGCTTTCTGGAAAAATTCGTTGTCATGTGTTCATTCACCTCTCATAGTTGAAACTTTTTTTTGATGGAGCAGTTTGGAAACAGTCTTCTTGTAGAATCTGCAAGGGTGTATGTTGGATCCCTGTGAGGCCTATGGTGAAAAAGGGAATATCTTCATATAAAAACTAGATAGAAGCTTTCCTGGAAACATCTTTGTGATGTGTGCATTCATCTCACAGAGTAGAACCTTTTTTTGATTGAGCAGATTGGAAACAGTCTTCTTGTAGAATCTGCAAAGTATATTTTTGAGCCCTTAGAGGCATATGGCAAAAACGAAATAGCTTCATGTAAAAAGTAGACAGAAGCCTTCTGAGAAACTTCTTTGTGATGGGTGCATTCATGTGACAGACTTGAACCTTTCTTTTGATTGAGCAGTTTGGAAACAGTCTTTTTGTAGGATCTGCAAAGGGATATTTGTGATCGCTTTGAGACCTCTGGTGAAAAAGGAAATATCTTCACATAAAAAGTAGACAGAAGGCTTCTGAAAAACTGCTTTGTGAAGTGTGCATTCATCTCACAGAGGTAAACTTTTCTTTTCATTGTGCAGATTGGAAATTATCTCCTTCTAGAATCTCCAAAGATATATTTGTGAGCACTTTGAAGCCTACAGTGAAAACGGAAATATCTTCACATGAAAACTATACAGAAGGTATCTGAGAATCTGTTTCTGATGTGTGCATTCATCTCTCAAAGGTGTACGTTTCTTTTCATTGAGCAGATTGGGAACTCTGTTCTTGTAGAATCTGCAAAGGGATATTTGTGAGTGCTTTCAGGACAATGTTGAAAAAGGAAATATCTTCCCATAAAAACTAGATAGAAATTTTATTTTCTTTTTTTAAATTATACTTTAAGTTTTAGGGTACATGTGCACATTCTGCAGGTTAGTTACATATGTATACATGTGTCATGCTGGTGCGCTGCACCCACTAATTCATCATCTAGCATTAGGTATATCTCCCAATGCTATCCCTCCCCCCTACCCCCACCCCACAACAGTCCCCAGAGTGTAATATTTTCCTTCCTGTGTCCATGTGATCTCATTGTTCAATTCCCACCTATGAGTGAGAATATGTGGTGTTTGGTTTTTTGTTCTTGCGATAGTTTACTGAGAATGATGATTTCCAATTTCATCCATGTCCCTACAAAGGACATGAACTCATCATTTTTTATGGCTGCATAGTATTCCATGGTGTATATGTGCCACATTTTCTTAATCCAGTCTATCATTGTTGGACATTGGGGTTGGTTCCAAGTCTTTGGTATTGTGAACAATGCCGCAATAAACATATGTGTGCATGTGTCCTTATAGCAGCATGATTTATAGTCCTTTGGGTATATACCCAGTAATGGGATGGCTGGGTCAAATGGTATTTCTAGTTCTAGATCCCTGAGGAATCTCCACACTGGCTTCCACAATGGTTGAACTAGTTTACAGTCCCACCAACAGTGTAAAAGTGTTCCTATTTCTCCAAATCCTCTCCAGCACCTGTTGTTTCCTGACTTTTTAATGATTGTCATTCTAACTATTGTGAGATGGTATCTCATTGTGGTTTTGATTTGCATTTCTCTGATGGCCAGTGATGATGAGCATTTTTTCATGTGTTTTTTGGCTGCATAAATATCTTCTTTAAAGTTCATATGGAACGAAAAAAGAGCCTGCATCACCAAGTCAATCCTAAGCCAAAAGAACAAAGCTGGAGGCATCACACTACCTGACTTCAAACTATACTACAAGGCTACAGTAACCAAAACAGCATGGTACTGGTACCAAAACAGAGATATAGATCAATGGAACAGAACAGGGCCCTCAGAAATAACGCTGCATGTCTACAACTATCTGATCCTTGACAAACCTGAGAAAAACAAGCAATGATGAAAGGATTCCCTATTTAATAAATGGTGCTGGGAAAACTGGCTAGCCATATGTAGAAAGCTGAAACTGGATCCTTTCCTTACACCTTATACAAAAATCAATTCAAGATGGATTAAAGACTTAAACGTTAGACCTAAAACCATAAAAACCCTAGAAGAAAACCTAGGCATTACCATTCAGGACATAGGCATGGGCAAGGACTTCATGTCTAAAACACCAAAAGCAATGGCAACAAAAGCCAAAATTGACAAATGGGATCTAATTAAACTAAAGAGCTTCTGCACAGCAAAAGAAACTACCATCAGAGTGAACAGGCAACCTACAAAATGGGAGAAAATTTCTGCAACCTACTCATCTGACAAAGGGCTAATATCCAGAATCTACAATGAACTCAAACAAATTTACAAGAAAAAAACAAACAACCCCATCAAAAAGTGGGCGAAGGACATGAACAGACACTTCTCAATAGATAGAAACTTTCTGACGAACTTCTTTGTGATGCATGCATTTGTCTCACAGAGTTGAACCTTTCTTTTGATTGAGCAGTTTGGAAAGTCATTTTGTAGTATCTGTGATGGGATACTTGTGAGTGCTTTGAGGCCTATGGTGGAAAAGGAAATATCTTCACATAAAAACTAGAAAAAAGCTTTCTGGGAAACTTCTTCTTGATGTGTGCATTCATTTCACAGAGTTGAACCTTTCTTTTGATTGACCAGTTTGGAAACAGTCTTTCTGTAGAATCTGCAAAGCAATAGTTTGGAGCCCTTTGAGGCATATGGTGAAAAAGGAAATATCTTCACATAAAAACTAGACAGAAGCTTTCTGAGAAACTTCTTTGTGATGTGTGCATTCATCTCACAGAGCAGAACCTTTCTTTTGATTGAGAAATTTGGAAACAGTTTTTTTGTAGAATCTGCAAAGGGATATTTGTGATAGTTTTGAGGTCTCTGGTGAAAAAGGAAATATCTTCACATAAAAACTAGACAGAAGGCTTCTGAGGAACCACTTTTTGAAGTGTGCATTCAACTCACAGAGGTAAACGTTTCTTTTCATTGAACACATTGGATACTCTGTTCTTGTAGATTCTGCAAAGGGATATTTGTGAGCGCATTTAGGCCTATGGTGAAAAAGGAAATGTCTTCACATAAAAACTAGACAGAAGCTTTCTGAGAAACTTCTTTGTGATGTGTGCATTCATCTCACAGAGTAGAACCTTTCTTTTGATTGAGCAGTTTGGAAACATTCTTTTTGTAGAATCTGCAAGGGGATATTTGTGATCACTTTGAGACCTTAGGTGACAAAGGAAATATCTTCACATAAAAATGAGACAGAAGGTTTCTGAGAATCTGCTTTGTGATGTGTGCATTCATCTCACAGAGGTAAATGTTTCTTTTCATAGAGCAGATTGGAAACTCTGTTCTTGTCGAATCTGCAAAGGGATGTTTGTGAGCGTTTTTCTGCCTGTGGTGAAAAAGGAAATGTCTTCACATTAAAAACTAGACAGAAGGATTCTGAGAAACTTCTTTGTGATGCATACATTCATCTCACAGAGTTGCACCTTTCTTTTGATTGAGCAGTTTGGGAACAGTCTTTTTGTAGAATCTGCAAAGAGATATTTGGGAGCGTTCTGAGGCCTATGGTGAAAACAGAAATATCTTCACATAAAAACTATACAGAAGGTTTCTGAGAAACTGCTTGTGATGTGTGCATTCATCTCACAGAGGTAAACGTTTCTTTTAATTGAGCAGATTGGAAAAGCTGGTCTTGTAGAATCTGCAAAGGTATATTTTTGAGTGCTTTGAGGCCTATGGTGAATTAGGAAATATCTTCACCTAAAAACTAGGAAGAAGCATTCTGAAAAACTGCTTTGTGATGTGTGCATTGCTAGAACAGAGTTGAACCACGCTTTTGATTGAGCAGTTTGGAACAACTGTTTTTCTAGAATCTGTAAAGGTATGTTTGTGAGTGCTTTGAGGCCTATGTTGAAAAAGGAAATATCCTCAGATAAAAACTAAAAGGAGCTCACTTAGAAAATGCTTTGTGGTGTGTTCATTCGACTCACAAAGTTAACCCATTCTTTTGATTGAGCAGATGGGAAATGCAGCATTTGTAGAATCTGCGAAGGGATATTTGGAATGGTCTGGATGTCTGTGGTAATAAAAGGAATATCATCTGATACAAAGCTAGACAGAAGCTTTCTGAGCAACTGCTTTGTGATGTGTGCATTCATCTCATGGGTCTAAAGATATCTTTTCATTGAGCAGTTTTGAAACTCTGTAATTCTAGAATCTTCAAAGGTATATTTTGGAGAGTAATGAGGACTATTGCGAAAAAAGAAATATCTTCTGATACAAACTAGAAAGAAAGTCTCTGAGAAATATCCTTTTGATGTGTGCATTCATCTCACAGTGTTTAACCATTTTTTTGATTAAGCAGTTTGGAAACAGTGTTTGTAGAATCTGCAAAGGGATATTTCGATTCACATGGAGGCCTGTGGTGAAAAAAGGAAATATCTTCTGATACAAACTAGACAGAAGCTTTCTGAGAAACTGCTATTTGATGTGTGCATTTATCTCACAGTGTTTAGTGTTTATTTTCATTGAACAGTTTGGAAACTCTGTTCTTCTATAATCTGCAAAGAGATATTTGGGAGAGCACTGAGGCCTATTGTGAAAAAGGAAGTATCTTAAGGTACAAATCAGAAAGAAAGTTTCTGATAAATTTCTTTGTGATGTGTGCATTCCTCTCAAAGAGCTTAAGCATTCTTCTGGTTGAGCAGTTTGGAAACACAGTGTTCATAGAATGTGCGAAGGAATATTTGGGTTCGCATGAAGCCCTGTGGTGAAAAACAAAATATTTTCCTATATAAACTAGACAGAAGCTTTCTGAGAAACTGCTTTGTGATGTGTGCATTCATCTCACAGAGTTGAACCACTCTTTTGAGTGAGCAGTTTGGAACCACTCTTTTTGCAGAATCTGCAAATGGATATTTGGGAGTGCTTTGAGGCCTACGGTTAAAAAGGAAATATGTTCCCATAAAAACTAGAAGGGAGCTTTCTGAGAAACTGCTTTGTGATGTGTGCATTCCTCTAACAGATTTGAACCATGCTTTTGATTGAGTAGTTTGGAACCACTGTTTTTCTAGGTGTGCAAAGAGAGATTTTTCAGCTCTTTGAGGCACTTGGTGAAAAAGGAAATATCCTCACAGAAAAACTAGAAAGGAGCTTTCTTAGAAACTGCTTTGTGATGTGTGCATTTGTCTCACAGAGTTAAGCCATTCTTTTGATTGAGCAGTTTGGAAACACAGTGTTTGTAGAATCTGCAAAGGGATATTTTGATTTGCCTTTAGGCCTATGGTGACAAAGAAAATATCTTCTGATACTAACTAGACACAAACTTTCTGAGAAACTGCTTCTGTTGTGTGCATTCATCTCACAAATTTAAACGTCTCTTTTAATTGACCAGTTTTGAAACTATGTAATTCTAGAATCTTCAACAGGATATTTTGGAGTGCATTGAGGCCTACAGTGAAAAAGGAAATATCTTCTGATATAAACTAGAAAGAAAGTCTCTTAGAAATTGCTGTGGGAAGTTTACATTCATCTCACAGTGTTTCACCATTCTTTTGATTGAGCAGTTTGCAAACACAATGTTTGTAAAATCTGTGAAGGGATATATGGATTTGCATGGAGGCCTGTGGTGAAGAAAGAAATATCTTCCGATACAAACTAGACAGAAGCTTTCTGAGAAACTGCTTTGTGATGTGTGCATTCATCTCACAGGTTTAAATGTTTCTTTTCTTTGAGCAGTTTGGAAACTGTTTTTCTAGAATCTGCAAAGGGATATTTAGGAGAGCATTGAGGCCTATGGTGAAATAGGAAGTGTTCTAAGATACAAACTCTAAAGAAAGTTTTTGAGAAATTGCTTTGTGATGTCTGCATTCATCTCAAAGTGTTTAACCATTCTTTTGATGGAGAAGTCTGGAAACACAGTGTTTGTAGAATGTTTGAAGGGATATTTGGATTCACATGGAGCCCTGTGGTGAAAAAGGATATATCTTACAATACAAACTAGACAGAAACTTTCTGAGAAACTGCTTTGTGATGTGTGCATTCACCTCACAGAGTTGAACCATTCTTTTGATTGAGCAGTTTGGAACCACTCATTTTGCAGAATTTGCAAAGGGATATTTGGGAGAGCTTTGAGGCCTATGGTTAAAAAGGAAATATCTTTACATAAAAACTAGAAAGAAGCTTTCTGAGAAACTGCTTTGTGACGTGTTCATTCCTCTAACAGAGTTTAACCACGCTTTTGATTGAGCAGTTTGGTACCACTGTTTTTCTAGAATCTGAGAAGGGATATTTTTGAGTGCTTTGAGGCCTACAGTGAAAAAGGAAGTATCCTCACAGAAAAACTAGAAAGGAGCTTTCTTAGAAACTGCTTTGTGATGTGCACATTCATGTAACAGAGTTAAATGATTCTGTTGAGTGAGTAGTTTGGAAACAGTGTTCACAGAATCTGTGAAGGAGTATTTGGATTCACCATGATGCCTATGTTGACAAAGGAAATATCTTCTGATATAAACTAGACAGAAGCTTTCTGATAAACTGCTTTGTGACGTGTGCATTCATCTCACAGAGGAAAACGCTTGTTTTCATTGAGATCTTTGGAAACTCTGTAATTCTAGAATCTGCAAAAGGATATTTAGGGGTGCACTGAAGCCTATGGTGAAAAAAGGAAATATCTTCTGATACAAAATAGAAAGAAAGTTTCTGAGAAATTTCTCTGTGATGTGTGCATTCATCTCACAGAGTTTAACCATTCTTTTGATTGAGCAGTTTGGAAACACAGTGTTTGTGGAATTTGCGAAGGGATATTTTGATTCGCATGGAGGCCTGTGGTGAAAAAGGAAATATCTTCCGATACAAACTAGACAGAAGCTTTCTCAGAAAATGCTTTCTGATGTGTGCATTCATCTCATGCAGTTGAACCATTCTTTTGATTGAGCACTTTAGAATCACTGTTTTGTAGAATCTGCAAAGGTATCCCTTGGAGCGCTTGGAGGCCTTCGGTGAAAAAGGACTTACCTTCACATAAAAACTAGAAAGAAGCTTTCTGAGAAACTGCATTGTGATGTGTGCATTCGTCTAACAGAGTTGAACCACGCTTTTGATTGAGCAGTTTGGGACCACTGTTTTTCTGGAATCTGAAAAGGGATATTTGTGAGCACTTTGAGGCCTACAGTGAAAAAGGAAATATTCTCACATAAAAATTAGAAAGGAGCTTTCTTAGAAACTGCTTTGTGATGTGCACATTCATCTAACATAGTTAAACCATTCTTTTGAGTGAACAATTTGGAAACACAGTGTTTGCAGAATCTGCAAAGGGGTATTTGGGTTCACCTTGAGGCTTATGTTGACAAAGGAAATATCTTCTGATACAAACTAGACAGAAGCTTTCTGAGAAACTGCTTTGTGATGTGTGCATTCATGTCACAGAGGTAAACTTTTCTTTTCATTGACCAGTTTGGAAACACAATGTAGAATATGCGAAGGGATATTGGGATTCACAGTGAGGCCTGTGGTCTAAAAGGAAAGATCTTCTCATACAAACCAGACAGAAGGTTTCTGAGAAACTGCTTTGTGAGGTGTGCATTCATCTCACAGAGTTTAACCATACTTTTGATTGAGCAGTTTGGAAACACAGTGTTTGTAGAATGTGTGAAGGAATATTTGGATGCACATGGAGGCTGGTGGTGAAAAATGAAGTATCTTCTGAATCAAATTACACAGAAGCTTTCTGAGTAACTGCTTTGTGATGTGTGAATTCAACTCACAGAATTGAACCATTCTTTTGATTGAGCAGTTTGGAACCATTGTTTTTGTGGAATCTCTAAGCAGATATTTGGGAGCATTTTGAGGCCTATGATGAAAAAGGAAATATCTGCACATAAAAACTAGAAAGAATCTTTCTGAGAAAGTTCTTTGTGATATGTGGATTCCTCTAAGAGTTGAACCATTCTTTTGATTGAGCAGTTTGGATCCACTGTTTTTCTGGGATCTGCAAAGCGATATTTTGAGCGCTTTGAGGCCTTTGGTGAAAAAGGAAATATCCTCACTTAAAAACTAGAAAGGATCTTCCTTCGAAACTGCTGTGTTATCTGTGCATTCGTCTCACAGATTTAAACCATTCTTGTGATTGAGCAGTTTGAAGGCACAATCTTTGTACAATCTGCGAAGGGATATTTGGATTTGCCTTGAGACATACAGCGAAAAAGGAAATATCTTCTGATACAAACTATACAGGTTTCTGAGAAACTGCTTTGTGATGTGTGCCTTCATCTCACAGAGCTAAACCTTTTTTTTATTGAGCAGTTTTGAAAATCTGTTCTTCTAGAATCTGCAAGGGGATATTTGGGAGCTCATTGAGACCTATGCTGAAAAAGGAAATATCTTAAGATTCAAACTAGAAAGAAATTTTCTGAGCAATTGCTTTTTGATATGTGCATTCATTTTACAGAGTTTAATGATTCTTTTGATTGAGCAGTTTGGAAATGCTGTTTTTGTAGAATCTGTGAAGGGATATTTGGGAGTGAATTGAAGCCTATGGTGAAAAAGGAAATTTCTTTGGATAAAAACTATAAAGAAGCTTTTTGAGAAACTGTTTTGTGATGTGTGCATTCTTGTCACAGAGGTAAACCTTTCTTTTTATTGAGCAGGTTGGAAACCCTGTTTTTGAAGAATCTACAAAGGGATATTTTGGAGCACATTGAAGATTGTGGTGAAAAATGAAATATCTTCAGATAAAAACTAGAAAGAAGTTGTTTGAGAAACTGGTTTGTGATATGTGCATTCTTCTCACAGAGGTAAAGATTTCTTTTGATTGAGCAGTTTGGAAACACTGTTTCTGTAGAAACTGTGAAGGGATATTTCTGAGCACATTGAGGCCTACAGTGAAAAAGGAAATATCTTTGGATAAAAACTAGAAAGAAACATTTTGACAAACTCCTTTATGAAACGTGCATTCATCTCACAGAGGTAAACCTTTCTTTTGATTGATCAGTTTGTAAACACTATTTTTTTAGAATCTGTGATGTGATATTTGGGAGCATATGAGGTCTATGGTGAAAAAGGAAATAACTTCAGATAAAAACTAGAAAAACCGATTTGTGATGTGTGCATTCTTGTCACAGAGTTAACCATTTCTTTTGATTGAGCAGTTTGGAAACAATATTTTTGTAGAATCTGCAAAGGGATATTTGGGAGTGCACTGATGTCTATAGTGGAGAAGGAAATATCTTCAGATAAAAACTAGGAAGAAGATTTTTGGGAAACTGCTTTCTGATCTGTGCATTCATCTCACAGACTTAAATCTTTCTTTTGTGTGAACAGTTTGGAAACACTGTTTTTGCAAAAACCGTGAGCAATATTAGGATGCCCAAAAAAGCATGTGGTGAAAAAGTAAGTATCTTCAGATAAAAACTGGAAAGAAGTGTTATGAGAAACAACTCTCTGATGTGTGCATTCATCTCAAAGAGTTAAGTCTTTCTTTTGATGGAACAGTTTGGAAACACATTTTTTTGTCAAATAAGCAAATTGATATTTGAGAATGCATTGACGCCTATGATGGAAAAGGAAATATCTTCAAAAAAGAGCTAGACAGAAGCTTTAGGAGAAACTGCTTTGTGAAATGTGCATTCATCTCACAGGGTTAAACATTTCTTTTGATTGGGCAGTTGGGAAGCACTGTTTTTGTAGAATCCGCAAAGGGATATTTCAGAGCCCATTGAAGCCTGTGGTGAAAAAGGAAATATCTTCAGATAAACAGCAGAAAGAAGTTTTGGAGAAACTGCTTTGTGATGTGTGTATTCATCTCACAGAGTTAAACCTTTCTTTTGATGATCAGTTTGGGAACACTCTTTTTGCAGAATTTGTGAGGGATATTTTGGAGTGCACAAGGGCTATGGTGAAAAAGGAAATAACTTCAGATAAAAACCAGAAAGAAGATTTCTGAGAAACTGCTTTGTGAGGTGTGCATTCGTCTCACAGAGTTAAATCATTCTTTTTGTGGAACAGTTTGGAAACGGTGTTTTTATAGAATCCATGAAGGGATATTTGGGAGTGCATTGAGGCATATGGTGGAAAAGGGAATATCTCCAGATAACAACTTGAAAGAAGCTTTTTGGGAAACTGCTTTGTGATGTGTCCATTCATCTCACAGAGAAAAACTTTTCTTTTGAATGATCAGATTGGAAACACTGTTTTTGTAGAATCTGCGAAGGGATGTTTCGGAAAACACGAAGACTATAGTGAAATAGGAAATATCTTTGGAAAAAACTAGAAAGAACGATTCTGACAAACTGTTTTCCGATGTTTGCATCCCACTCAAAGAGTTAAACATGTTTTCTGATTGAGCAGTATGGAAACACTCTTTTAGCATAATCTGTGATGAGATATTTGAGAGCACATTAAGCCTGTGGTGATAAAGGAAACATCTTCAGATAAAAACTGGAAAGAAGCATTATGAGAAACTGCTTTCTGATGTGTGCATTCATGTTACAGAGTTAACTCCTTCTTTTGATGGAAATGTTTGGAAACATTGTTTTTGTAGAACCTTTGAAGGGATATATGAGAGTACCTGGAGGCCTATATTGGAAGAGGCAATGTCTTCTGAGAAGAAATAGACTGAAGTTTTCTGAGAAACTGCTTTGTGATGTGTGCATTCATCTCAAAGAGTTAAACCTTTCTTTTGATTGAGCAGTTTGTGAACACTGTTTTCGTAGAATCTGCAAAGGGATATTTGGGAGTGCATTGAGGCCTATGGTGGAACATGAAATATCTTCAAAGAAGACAGAAGGTATCTGAGAAACTGCTTGGTGATTAGTGCATTGATCACACAGAGTTAAAACTCTCTTTAGATTGATCAGAATGAAAACACTGTTTTTGTAGAATCTGTGAAGGGATATTTGGAGCACAGGAGGCCTATGATCAAAAAAGAAATCTCTTCAGATAAAAACTAAATAGAAGCTTTTGGAGAAACCACTTTGTGATGTGTCCATTCTTCTCACAGAGTTAAACATTTCTTTTGATTGATCAGTCTGGAAACACTGTTTTTGAAGAATCTGCAACGGATTATTTGGAAGCACACGTGGCCTATATTTAAAAAGGAAATAACTAGAGATAAAAACTAGAAATAAGGTTTCTGAGAAGCCACTTTGTCATGTGTGCATTCTTCTTAGAGAGTTAAATGTTACTTTTGATTGAGCAGTTTGGAAACACTGTTTTTTTTTTAGAATCTGCAAAGGGATATTTGGAATCACAATGATGCCTATGGTGGGAAAGGAAATAATTTCAGATAAAAACTAGAAAAAATCTTTTTGAGAAACTTCTTTGTGATGCATGCATTCTTCTCACACAGTTAAACTTTTCTTCTTAGTTTGGAAACCCTGTTTTTGTGTAATCTGCAAATAGATATTTGTTAGCACAAAAAGTTCTATCATAAGGAAATATCTTCAGACAAAAACTGGAAAGAAGCATTATGAGAAACTACTTTCTGATATGTGCATTCATCTCACATAGATAAATACTTTTGATAGAACAATTCATAAAACACTGTTTTTATAGGATCTGGCAAAGGGATATTTGGGAGTGCATTGAAGCTAGAGTGACAAAGGAAATATCTTCAGATTAAAACTAGAAAGAAGCTTTTTGAGAAAGTGCTTTTTCATTCTTCTCATAGATTTAAATGTATCTTTTAATTGAGCTGGTTGGAAGCACTGCTTTTGTGTAATATGCAAAGTGATATTATGTAGTGCAAAAAGGCCTATGGTGAATACGGAAATATCTTCTGATAAAAACTGAAAAGAAGTGTTATGAGTACCTGTTTTCTGATGTGTGCGTTCATCTCACAGAGTTGTCCTTCTTTTGGTGGAACTGTTCAGAAACACTTTTTTATGGGATCTGCAAAAGGATATTTGGGGGTGCAATGAGGCCTACGGTGGAAAAGGGAATATCTTCAGAGAAGAACTAGACAGAATATATCTGGAAAACTGCCTTGTGATGTGTGCATTCATCTCACAGATTTAAACGTTTCTTTTGATTGAGCAGTTTGGAAACACGGTTTTTGTAGAATCTGCAAAAGTATATTTGAGAGCACCCTGAGGCCTACGGTGAAAAAGGGAATATTTTCAGATAAAAACTAGAAAGAAGCTTTTTGAGAAATGGCTTTGTGATGAGTGCATTCAACTCACACAGCTGAATCTGTTTTAGAGTGAGAAGTTTGTAAACTGGGTAGAATCTGCAGTGGGGTATTTGGGAGCGCATTGAAGCCTATGGTGATAAATGAAATATCTTTTTATAAATACTAGAAAGAAGTTTTTTGAGAAACTGCTTTGTGATGTGTGCATTCACCTGACTGATTTAAACCTTTCATTTGACTGAGCTGTTTGGAAACCGCGCTTTTGCAGAATCTGCAAAGCAATACTAATTAGCACAAAAAACCCTATGGTGAAAAAGGAAATATCTTCAGATAAAACCTGGAAAGAAGTGTTACTAGAAACTGCTCTCTGATATGAGAGTTCGTCTCACACAGTTAAGTCCTCCTTTTGATGGAACAGTTTGGAAACACTGTTTTTGTAGAATTTGCAAAGTGATATTAGGGAGTGCATTGAGGCTTATGGTGGAAAAGGAAATATCTTCAGAGAAGAACTAGACAGAAGCTAACTGAGAAACTGCTTTGTGATGTATGTATTCATCTCAAAGAGTTAAAACTTTCTTTTGATTGAGCAGTTTGGAAACACTCTTTTTGTAGAATCTTCAAAGGTGTATTTTGGAGTGCACTGAGGCCTAAGGAGAAAATTAAATATCTTCAGATAAAAACTACCAGGACAATTTTAGAGAAGCTGCTATGTGATGTGTGCATTCAACTCACTGAGTAAGATCTGGGTTTTGATTGAGCATTTTGGAAACATTGTTTTTGTTGAATCTGAAATGGGATATTTTGGAGTGTATTGAAGCCTATGGTGATAAAGGAAATATCTTCTGATAAAAACTAGAAAGAAAGTTTTTGAGAAACTGCTTTGTGATGAGTGCATTCATCTCACAGATTTAAAAATTTCTTTTGATTGATCAGTTTGGAAACTGTGCTTTTGTAGAGTCTGCAAAGGGATATTTGGGAGCACACGAGGCCTATGGTGAAAAAGGAAAAAACTGGAAAGAAGCATTATTAGAAACTGCTTTGTGATGTGTGCATTCTTCTCACAGAGTTAAACGTTTCTTTTGATTGAAGAGTTTGGATCACTGTTTTTGTAGAATCTGCAAATGGATATTTGGGAGCACACTGATGCCTTTGGTGAAAAAGGAAATATCTTTGGGTAAAAATGAGAAAGAAACTTTCTGAGAAACTGCTTTGTGATGTGACCATTCATCTCACAGAGTTAAACCTTTCTTTTGATTGAGGAGTTTGAAAACACTGTTTTTGCAAAATCTGTGAGGTGACTTTAAGTAGCACAAAAAAGCCAATGGTGAAAAAGGAAATATCTTCATGTGTAAACTGGAAAGAATCATTATGAGAAACTGCTTTCTGATGTGTGCATTCATCTCACAGAGTTATTTCCTTCTTTTGATGGAACAGTTTGGAAACACTGTTTTTGTGGAGTGTGCGAAGGGATATTTGGGAGCATGTTGAGGCCTATGGTGGAAAAGGAAATACCTTCAGATAAAAATTTAAAAGAAATTTTTAAGAAACTGCTTTGTGATGTGTGCATTCAACTCACAGAGTTAAACCTGTTTTTTTGGTTGAGCAAGTTGGAAACACTGTTTTTTTAGAATCTTCAATTAGATATTTGAAAACGCATTTAGGCCTTTGGTGAAAAAGGAAATATCTTCAGATATAAACAAGAAAGAAATTTTTTGTGTACCTGCTTTGTGATGTGTGCTTTCATCTCACAGATTTTAAGCTTTCTTTTGACTGATCCATTTAGAAAGATGATAGTTTTTGTATAAGTAGTGCAAAAAAGCCTATGACAAAAAAGGAAATATCTAAAGATAAAAACTGGAAAGTAGTGTTATGAGAAACTGCATCCTGATGTGTGCGTTCATCTCACAGAGTTAAGTCCTTCTTTTGATGACACAGTTTGGAAACACCGTTTTTATAGAATCTACCAAAGGATATTTGCAAGTGCATTGAGGCCTATAGTGGAAAAGGAAATATCTTAAGAGAAGAACTAGACAGAAGATTTCTGAAAAATTGCTTTGTGATGTGTGCATTCCTCTCACACATTTAAACCTTTCTTTTGATTGAGCAGTTGGAAACACTGTTTTTTTAGAATCTGTGAAGTGATATTTGGGAGCTCAGGAGGCCTATGGTGAAAAATGGAATAACTTCAGATAAAAACTGAAATGAAGCTTTCTGAGAAACTGCTTTATGATGTCTGCATTCTTCTCACAGAGTTAAATGATTCTTTTGATTGAGCAGTTTTGAAACAGTGTTTTTGTAGAATCTGCAATGGGATATTCAGAAGTGCACTAATGCCTATGGTGAAAAAGGAAATATCTTCGGAAAAAACTAAAAAGAACCTTTTTGAGAAACAGCTTTGTGATGTGTGCATTCATCTCACAGAGTTAAAGTTTTCTTTTCATTGAGCTGTTTGGAAATACTGTTTTTACAAAATCTGTGAAGCGATATTTGTTAGCACTAAAAAGCCTGGGGTGAACAAGGAATTATCTTCAGAAAAAAAGTGGAAAGAAGCATTATGGGAAAATGCTTTCTGATATGTGTGTTCATCTCAGAGAGTTATGTCCTACTTTTGATGGAAGAGTTTGCAAACACTGTTTTTATAGAATCTGAGAAGGGATTATTGGGAGCACATTGAAGACTATGGTGGAAAAGGAAATATCTTCAGACAAGAATTAGTCAGAACCTATCTGAGAAAATGCTTGGTGATGTGTGCATTCAACCCACAGAGTTCAAACTTTCTTTTGATTGAGCAATTTGGAAACACTGTTTTTGTAGAAATTGTGAAGGGATATTTGGGAACACATTGAACCCTACGGTGAAAAATTGAATATCTTTAGATAAAAGCTAGAAAGAAGCTTTTAGAGAAACTGCTTTGTTACGTGTGCATTCATCTCACAGGGCGAAACCTTTCTTTGGATGTATCAGTTTGGAAACACTGTTATTGTAAGATATACGAAGGGACAAGTGGGAGTGCAGTGAGGCCTATGACGAAAAAGGAATTAACTTCACATAAAAACTAGAAAGAAAGTTTCTGAGAAACTGCTTTGTGATGTGTGCATTCTTCTCACAGAGTTAAACGTTTCTTTTGATTGAGCAGTTTGGAAACACTGTTTATGTAGAATATGTGAAGGGATATTTGGGAGTGCTTTGAGGCCTATGATGAAAAAAGAAACCACTTCAGAGAAGAATTAGACAGAAGCTATCTGAGAAACTGCTTTGTGATGTGTGCATTCATCTCACAGGGTTAAAACTTACTTTTGATTGAGCTCTTTGGAAACCTCGTATTTGTAGTATCTGCAAAAGTATATTTGGGGGTGCACTGTGGCCTATGGTGAAAAAGGAATTGTCTTCAGGTAAAAACTAGAAAGAATCTTTTTGAGAAACTGCTTTGTGATGTGTGCTTTCAAATCACAGAGTTAAACCTCTTTTGATACATCAGTTTTGAAACACTTTCTTTGTAGAATCTGTGACGGGATATGTGGGAGTACATTGAGGCCAATGGTGGAAAAGGAAACATCTTCAGAAAAGAACTAGACAAAAGCTTTCTGATAAACTGCTTTGTGATGTTTGCATTTGTCTCACAGGGCTAAAACTTACTTTTGATTCAATGGTTTGGAAAGACTGTTTTTGTAGAATCTGTGATGGGATATTTGGGAATGCATTGAGTCCTATGGTGAAAAAGGAAATATCTTTGGATGGAAACAAGAAAGAGTTGTATTGAGAAACAGCTTGATCATGTGGGCATTCATCCACAGAGTTTAAACTTTCTTTTGACTGTGCAGTTTGGAAACACTGTTTTGGCAAAATCTGTGAAGCAATATTAGGTGGCGTGAAAAGTCTAAGGGGAAAACGGAAATATCTTCAGATAAAAAGTGGAAAGAAGCATTATGTGAAACAGCTTTCTGATGTGTGCTCTCATCTCACAGAATTAAGTCCTTCTTTTGATGAAACAATTTGGAAACACTGTTTTTGTAGAATCTGTGAAGGGATATTCAGGAGTGCGCAAGGCCTATGCTCAAAAAGGAAATAACTTCAGATAAAAACTAGCAAGAAGCTTTCTGAGAAACTGCTTTTCTGATGTGTGCATTCTTCTCACAGAGTTAAACATTTATTTTGATTGAGCGGTTAGAAAACACTGTTTTTGTAGAATCCACAAAAGGATATTTGGGCACACACTTATGACTGGTGAAAAAGAAAATATCTTCAGATAAAAACTAGAAAGATGGTTTTTGAGAAACTGCCATGTGATGTATGCATTCATCCCACAGAGGTAAACTTTTCCTTTGACTGAGCAGTTTGGAAGCACTGATTTTGAATAATGTGCAAAGCAATATTAGATATCTCAAAAGGGCCTATAGTAAACAAGGAAATATCTTCAGATAAAAAGTGGAAAGAAGCATTATGAGAAACTGCATTGTGATGTGTATATTAATCTCACAGACTGAAATATTTCATTGTTGGAACAGTTCAGAAACACTGTTTTTATAGAATCTGCAAAGGCATATTTGGGAGCACATTGAGGTCTAAGGTGAAAAAGGAAATATATTCAGATAAAAACTAGAAAGAAGCTTTTTGAGAAACAACTTTGTGAAGTGTGCATTCATCTCACAGAGTTAAACATTGCTGTTGACTGAGCAGTTTGGAAACACTCTTTGCCAAATCCATGAAGCGTAATCATGTAGTGCAAAAAAAAGCCTTTGGTGAACAAGGAAATATCTTCAGATAGAAACAGGAAAGAAGCGTTATAAGAAACTGCATTCTGATGTATGTGTTCATCTCACAGAGTTAATCCTACCTTTTGATTGAGCAGTTTGGAAGCACTGTTTTTGTAGAATCTGCAAAGTTGTATTAGGGAGCACATTGAGGCATATGGTGAAAAAGGAAATATCTTTGGATAAAAGCTAGAAAGAAGCTTTTTGAGAAACTTCTTTATGATGTGTGCACTCATCTCACAGAATTAAACCTATTTTTAGATGAGTAGTTTGGAAACACTGTTTTTGTAGAACCTGTGATGGGTTATTTTGGAGGGCACTTAAGCCTATGGTGATAAAGGAAATATCTTTGAACAAAAACTAGAAAGAAGCTTTTGGAGGAAGTGCTTTGTGATATGTGCATTTATCTCACAGAGTTAAACCTCTCTTTTGATTGATCAGTTTGGAGACACTGTTTTTGTAGAATCTCCAAAGGTATATTTTAGAGTTCACTAAGGTCTAAAGTGAAAAAGAAAATACCTTTGGATAAAAATTAGAAAGAAGTGCTTTGAGGAACTGTTTGGTGATGGATACATTCATCTCACAGAGCTAAACTTTTCTTCTGACTGAGCAGTTTGGAAACACTGTTTTTGTGTAATATGTGACACCATGTCTGGTAGCGCAAATGTCCTATTGTGAACAAGGAAATATCTTCAGAAAAACACTGGAAAGAAGCATTACGTGAAACATCTCTCTGATATGTGCATTCATCTCACAGAATTAAGTCCTTCTTTTGATTGGACTTTTGCAAACACTGTTTTTGTAGAATCTGCAAATGGATATTTGGGAGAGCATTGATGCCTATGGTGGAAAAATAAATACTTTCAGAGAAGAACTAGACAGAAGCTTTCTGACAACTGCGTTGTGATGTGTGCATTAATGTCACAGAGTTAAACCTTTCTTTTGATTAAGAAGTTTGGAAACACTGTTTTTGTGGCATCTGTGAAGGGATATTTTGGAACACAAGAGGCCTATGGTGAAAAAGGAAATAAGTTCTGATAAAAACAAGAAATATACTTTCTGAGAAACTACTTTGTGATGTGTGCTTTCTTCTCACAGAGTTAATCATTTCTTTTGATTGAGCCATTTGGAAATACGGTTTTTGTAGAATCTGCAAAGGGATCTTTGGAAGCACACTGATGCCTATGATGAAAAAGAAAATATCTTCAGATAAAAACTAGAAAGAACCTTTCAGAGAAACTTCTATGTGATGTATGCATTCATCTCATGGAGTTAAACTTTTCTCTGGACTGAGTCGTTTGGAATCACTGTTTTGGTATAATCTGCAAACTGATGTTTCATAGTGCAAAACAGCCAATGATTAACAAGGAAATACCTTCAGATAAAGACTGGAAAGAAGCATTATTAGAAACAACTTTCTGATATGTGTGTTTATCTCATAGAGTTAAATCCTTCTTTGATGGAACAGTGTGTATACACTGTTTTTCTGGAATCTGCAGAGGGATATTTGGGAGTGCATTGAGGCCTATAGTGGAAAAGGAAATATCTTCAGAGAAGAACTACACAGAAGCTTCCTGAGAAAGTGCTTTGTGATGTGTGTATTCATATCACAGAGTTAAACCTTTCTTTTATTTAGCAGTTTGGAAATACTGTTTTTGTAGAATCTGCAACAGGATATTTGGGAGTGCACTGATATCGATGCTGATAAAGGAAATATATGTGGATAAATACTAGAAAGAAGATTTTTGAGAAAATTCTTTATGATGTCTGCATTCACCTCAGGGAGTTAAACATTTCTTTTTACTGAGCAGTTTGGAAACAGCGTTTTTCCAAAATCTATGATGCAATACTAGTTACTGCCAAATAGCCTAAGGTGAAGAAGAAAATACATTCAGACAAAAACTGGAAAGGAAGCGTTATGAGAAAATGCTTCCTGATGTGTGTGTTCAGCTCACAGAGTTGAGTCCTTCTTTAGAGAGAACAGTTCAGAAACACTGTTTTTGTAGAATCTGCAAAGGGATATTTGGTAATGTATTGAGGCCAATGGTGGAAAAGGAAACATCTTCAGAGAAGAACTAGACAGAAGCTTTCTGATAAACAGCTTTGTGAAGTTTGCATTCATCTCACAGAGCTAAACAATTCTTATGATTGAGCGGTTTGGAAACACTGTTTTTGTAGAATCTGCGATGGGATATTTGGGAACGCATTGAGTCCTATGGTGAAAAAGGAAGTATCTTCGGATAGAAACTAGAAAGAATTGTTTTGAGAAACTGCTTGATGATGTGTGCATTCAACTCACAGAGTTAAACTTTTCTTTTGACTAAGCTGTTTGGAAACACTCTTTTGTATACCCTGCGAAGCGATGTTATGTAGCACAAAAAGGCCTATGGCAATAAAGGACATAGCTTCAGATAAAAGCTAGAAAGGAGCGTTATAAGGAACTTGTTTCTGAGGTGTGTGTTCATCTCTCAGAGTTAAATGCTTCCTTTGATGGAACAGTTCAGAAACACTGATTCGTAGAATCTCCAAAGGGATATTCAGGAGTGCATTGAGTCCTATGGTGGAAAAGGAAATAACTTCAGAGAAGTACTAGACAGAAGGTATCTGAGAAATGGTTTTGTGATGTGCGCATTCATCTCACAGAGTTAAACCTTTCTTTTGTTTGAGCAATTTGGAAACACTGTTTTGGAGAACCTGCAAATGTATAGTTGTGAGTGCATTGAGGCCCATTGTGAAAAAGGAAATATCTTCGGATAAAAACTTGAAAGAAGCTTTTTGAGAAACTGCTTTGTGATGTGAGCATTAAACTCACAGATGTAAATGTGTTTTTTGATTGAGTAGTTTGGAAACATTGTTTTTGTAGAATGTTCAACAGGATATTTTAGAGCACTTTGAAGCCTATGGTGATAAAGGAATTTCTTTAGGTAAAAACTAGAAAGAAGCTTTTTGAGAAACTGCTTTGCAATGTGTGCATTCAAATGAAAGAATTAAACTTTTCCCTTGATTGATCAGTTTGGAAACACTTGTAGAATCTGCAAATGTGTATTTGGGAGCAAAAGGGGTTTTTGGTGAAAAAAAAACTACTGAGAAAAAGTAGAAAGAAGCTTTCTGAGAAAACACTTTTTGTTGGGTGTATACTTCTCACAGAGTAAAATGTGTCTTTTGATTCAGCAGTTTTGAAACACTGTTTTTCTAGAATCTCTGAAGGCATGTTTGTGAGTGCATTGAAGCCTATGTTGAAAAAGGAAATATCTTCAGATAAAAGCTAGAAATAATATTTTTGAGAAACTGCTTGCAATGTGTGCATTCATCTCACAGAGTTAAACCTTTCTTTTGATTGATCAGTTTTGTAACACTTTTTTTGTAGAACCTACGAAGGGTTATAGGGGAGTGCATGAGGCCTACAGTGAAAAAGGAAATAACTTCAGATAAAAACTAGAAAGAAGCTTTCTGAGAAACTGATTCGTGATGTGTGCATTCTTCTCAGATACTTAAACGTTTCTTTTCATTGAGCAGTTTGAAAACACTGTTATTGCCAAAACTGAAAAGGGATATTTGGGAGTGCGGTGATGCCTATGGTGAAAAAGGAAATATCTTTGGATAAAAACTAGAAAGAAGTTTTTTGAGAAACCACTTTGTGGTGTATGCATTCATCTCACAGAGTTAAATAATATTTTTGACTGAGCAGTTTGGAAACACAGTTTTTGTATAATCTGCAAGTGATGTTAAATAGTGCAAAAAGGCCTATGTTTAACAAGGAAATAACTTCAGATAAAAACTGGAAAGAAGCGTTGTGAGAAACTGCTTTCTGATGTGTGCATTCATCTCACAGAGTTAAATCTGTCTTTTGATGGAACAGTTTGGAAACACTGTTTTAGTAGAATCTGCAAGGGGATATTTGGGTGCACTTTTAGGCCTATGGTGGAAAAGGAAATATCTTCAGAGAAGAACTAGACAGGAGCGTTCTGAGAAACTGCTTTGTTATGTGTGCATTCCTCTCACAGAGTTAAATATTTCTTTTGATTGAGTAGTTTGGAAACACTGGTTTTGAAGCATCTGCAAGGGCATATTTGGGAGTGCATTGAAGGCTATGGTGAAACATGAAATATCTTCGGATAAATACTAGAAAGATGAATTTTGAGAAACTACTTTGTGATGTGTGCATTCTTCTCACAGAGTTAAGCCTTTCTGTTTATTGAGCCATTTGGAAACACTGTTTTTGTACAAACTGCGAAGGGATTCTTGAGAGCACAAGAGGCCTATCTTGAAAAAGCAAATGACTTTGGATAAAGACTACAAAGATGCTTTTTGAGAAACTACTTTCTGATGTGTGCATTCATCTCACAGAGTTAAGTCCTTCTTTTGATTGGACTGTTTGCAAACACTCTTTAGGTAGAATCTGCAAATGGATATTTGGGAGTGCAATGAGGCCTGTGGTGGAAAAATATATATCTTCAGAGAGGAAATAGACAGAGGCTTTCTGACAACTGCGTTGTGATGTGTGCATTAGTCTCACAGAATTAAACCTTTCTTTTGATTGATCAGTTTGGAAACACTGTTTTTGTAGAATGTGTGAAGGGATATTTGGGAGCACATTGAAGCCTATTTTGAAAAAGGAAATACCTTCGGATGAAAACTAGAAAGAAGCTTTTTGAGAAACTGTTCATGATGTGTGCATTAGTCTCACAGAATCAAACCTTTCTTTTGATTGATCAGTTTGGAAACACTGTTTCTGTAGAATCAGCGAAGGCATATTTGGGAACCCATGAGGCCTATGGTGAAAAGGGAAATATCTTCAGATAAAATCCAGATAGAAGCTTTCTGAGAAACTGCTTTGTGATGTGTGCACTCATCTCACAGATTTAAAACTTTCTTTAGATGGAGTAGTTTGTAAACACTTTTTTTGTATAATCAGCAGAGGGATATTTATGAACGCAGTGATTCCTATGGTGAAAAGGAAATATCGTCAGAGAAAAACTAGAAAGAAACTTTCTGAGAAACTAGTTTGTGATGTATGCATTCATCTCATAGAGCTAAACCTTTCTTTTGATGGAACAGTTTGTTAACCTTGTTTTTGTATAAACTGCAAAGGGATATTTCAGAGTGCATTATGGCCTATGGTGAAACTGGAAATATCTTTAGACCAAAACTAGAAAGAAGGTTTCTGAGAAGCTGTTTGTGGTGTGTGCATTCACCTCACAGAGGTAAACCTTTCTTTTGATGGAGCAGTTTGTAAACACTATATTTGTAGAATTTGCAAAGGGACACTTGGGAGCTCATTGAGGCCAATGGGGAAAAGAAATATCTTCAGAAAAAACTAAAAAGAAGCTTTCTGAAAAACTACTTTGTGATGTGTGCATTTGTACCACAGAGTTAAAAAATTTTATGATGGAACTGTTTGTTTACCTTGCTTTTGTATAAACTGCAAAGGGATATTTCAGAAGGCATTGAGGCCTATGGTGAAAATGGAAACATCTTTTGACAAAAACTGTAAAGAATGTTTCTCATAAACTGCTTTCTGATGTGTGCATTCATCTTACACATTTAAGCCTTTTTTTTGTTGGAGCAGTGTGTAAACACTATATATGTAGAACCTGTGAAGGCAGACTTTGCAGCACATTGAGGCGTATGGTTAAAAAAACATTTTCAGAGAAAAATTAAAAGAAGTTTTCTGAAAAATTTCTTTGTCATGCGTGCATTCACATCACCTAGATGAACCTTTCTTTTAATGGGACAGTTTGGAATCAGTGTTTGTGTAGAATCTGCAATGGGATATTTCCTAGCACACTGACGCCTGTGGTGAAAAGAGAAATATCTTCAGAGAAAAACTAGAAGGAAGCTTTCTGAGAAACTGCTTCATGATGTGTGCTTTCATCTCACAAAATCAAACCTTTCTTTTGGTGGAGCAGTTTGTAAACACTGTATTTGTAGAATCTGCGAAGGGATACTTGGGAGCTCATTGAGGCCAATGGTGAAAAGAAATATCTTCAGAGAAAAACTAAAAAGAAGTTTCTGAAAAACTGCTTTGTGATTTGAGCATTCATCTGACAGACTTAAACCTTTCTTTTGATAGAGCAGTTTGGAAACGCTGTATTTATAGAATCTGCAAGGCCATATTTGGGAGAGCATTGAGGACTATTGTGAAAATGGAAATATCTTCAGAGAAAAATTAGAAGGAAGCTTTCTGAGAAACTGCTTGGTGATGTGTGCATTCATCTGACACAGTTAAACCTTTCTTTTGATGGAATAGTTTGGAGTCACTGTTTGGTAGAATCTGCAAAGGGATATTTGGGAGTGCATTAAAGCCTGGGATGAAAAGATAAATATATTCGGAGTAATACTAGAAAGAAGCTTTTTGAGAAACTGCTTTGTGATGTGTGCATTCATCTCACAAAGTTAAACCTTCCTTTTGATGGAGCAATTTGTTAACCCTGTTTTTTTATAAACCGCAAAAGTATATGTTGGAGTGCTTAGAGGCCTATTGTGAAAATTGAATTATCTTTAGACAAAAACTAGAACGAAGCTTTCTGAGAAACTGCTTTGTGATGTGTGCATTCATCTGACAGAATTAAACCTCTTTATTGATAGAGCAGTTTGGAAACACTGTATTTGTAGAATCTGCAAAGATATATTTCAGAGCTCATTGAGGTCTATTGTGGAAAAGGAAATATCTTCAGAGAAAAACATGAAAGAAGCTTTCTGAGAAGTGGCTTCATGATGTGTCCATTTATCTCACAGAGTTAAACCTTTCCTTTGAAGGAGTAGTTTGAAAACAATGTATTTGTAGAATCTGCGAAGCCATATTTGGGAGTGCTTTCAGGCCTCTGGTGAAAAGGGAAATATCTTCAGATAAAAACTAGGCAGAAGATACCTGTGAAACGGCTTTTTGATGTGTACTTTCATCTCAGAGTTAAACCTTTCCTTTGATGGAGTAGTTTGTAAACACTGTTTTTGTATAATTGGTGAAGAGAAATTTTGGAGCACATAGAGTCCTATGGTGAAAAGGAAATATCTTCAGAGAAAAACTAGAGAGAAACTTTCTGAGAAAGTGCTTTGTGTTGCATGTATTAATCTCACAGAGTTAAACCTTTCTTTTGATGGAGCAGTTTATTAACCCTGTTTTTGTATAAACTGTGAAGGCATATTTTGGAACACATTGAGGCCTGTGGTGAAAATGGAAATCTCTTTAGACAAAAACTAGAATGAAGCTTTCTGAGAAACTGCTTTGTGATGTGCTCATGCAACTCATTGAGTTAGACCTTTCTTTTGATGGAGCAGTTTGGAAACACTGTATTTGTAGTTTCTGTGAATGGATATTTTTGAGCACAATGTGGCCTGCTGTGAAAAAGGAAATATCTTCAGAGAACAACCAGTAAGAAGCTTTCTGAGAAACTGCTTTCTGATGTGTGCATTCATCTCACTGAGTTAAAACTGTATTTACATGGAGCATTATGGAAAAACTGTATTTGTAGAATCTGTGAAGAGATATTTCAGAGCATATTGAGGCCTACAGGAAAAAAGGAAATATCTTCAGAGAAAAACTATAAATGAGCTTTCTGAGAAACCAGTTTGTGATGTGTGCACTCATCACACAGACTTAAATCTTTCTTTTGATGGAGCAGTTTGGAATCACTCTTTTTGCAGAAATCCGTGAAGGGATATTTGGGAGAGCATTCAGGCCTATGGTGAAAAGGGAAATATCTTCAGAGAAAATCGAGAAAGAAGCTTTCTAAGAAACTTCTTTGTTATGTGTGCATTCACCTTGGAGAGTTAAAACTTTCATTAGATGGAGTAGTTTGTAAACACTGTTTTTATACAATTGGTGAAGGAATATTTATGAGTACCTTTGGTGCTCATGTGGAAAAGGATATATCTTCACAGAAAAACTAGAAAGAAACTATCATAGAAAATATTTTGTGATGTATGCATTCATGTGACAGAGTTAAGCCTTTCTTTTTATGGAGCAGTTTCTTAACCTTGCTTTTGAATAAACTGCAAAGGACTAATTTGGAGTGCATTCTGGCCTATGGTTAAAATGGAAATATCTTTAGACAAAAACTAGAAAGGTCTCTGAGAAACTGCTTTGTGATGTGTGCATTCATCTCAAAGAGTTAAAATTTTCTTTTGATGGAGCAGTTTGAAAACACTGTATTTGTAGAATCTGTGAAGGGATATTTAGGAACACATTGTGATCTATTTTGAAAAGAAATACCTTCATAGCAAAACTAGAAAGAAGCTTTCAGAAAAACTACTTTGTGATGTGTACATTCATCTCATAGAGATAAATCTTTCTTTTAATGAGGCAGCTTGGAATAACTATTTTTGTATAATCTGCAAAGGGATATTTGGTAGCAGATTGATCCCTGTGGTGAAAAGATAAATATCTTCAGAGAAAAACTAGAAGGAAGCTTTCTCAGAAACTGCTTTGAGATATGAGCATTCATCTCACAGAGATAAACCTTTCTTTTGATTTAGCAGTTTGGAGTCCCTGTTGTTGTAAGATCTGCAAACGGATATTTCAGTGCACATTAAGGCCTGTGGTGAAAAGAGAAATATCTTCAGAGAAAAAGTAGCAGGAAGCTTTCTGAGAAACTGCTTTGTTATGCGTCCATTCATCTCACAGAGTTAAAATTTTCCTTTGAATCAAACCCAAATGTCCAACAATGATAGACAGGATTAAGAAAATGTGGCACATATACACCATGAAATACTACGCAGTCATAAAAAATGATGAGTTCATGTCCTTTGTAGGGACATGGATGAAATTGGAAATCATCATTCTCAGTAAACTATCGCAAGAACAAAAAACCAAACACTGCATATTCTCACTCATAGGTGGGAACTGAACAATGAGAACACATGGACACAGGAAGGGGAACATCACACTCTGGAGACTGTTGTGGGTTGGGGGGAGGGGGGAGGGATAGCATTGGGAGATATACCTAATGCTAGATGATGGGTTAGTGGGTGCAGCGCACCAGCATGGCACATGTATACATATGTAACTAACATGCACATTGTGCACATGTACCCTAAAACTTAAAGTATAATAATAATAAATGAAAAAAAAGAAAAAAAATTTTCCTTTGAAGGAGCAGTTTGAAATCACAGTATTTGTAGAATCTGTGAAGCCATATTTGGGAGTGTTTTCATGCCTGTGGTGAAAAGGGAAATATCTTGAGATAAAAACTAGACAGAAGCTTTCTGCAAAACTGCTTTGTGATGTGTGCATTCATCTCACAGAGTTAAATCTTACTTTTGATGGAGCAGTTTGTTAACCTTGGTTTTATATATACTGCAAAGGGATATTTCAGAGCACATTGAGGCCTAAGGTGAAAATGGAAATATCTTTAGACAAAAACTAGAAAGAAGGTTTGTGAGAAACTGCTTTGTGGTCTGTGCATTCATCTCACAGAGTTAAACTTTTCTTTTGATGGAGCAGTTTGTAAACACTGTAGTTGTAGAATCTGTGAAGGGATGGTTGGGAGTGCATTGAGGCCTATGGTGAAAAGAAATATCTGCAGGGAAAAACTAAACAGAAACTGTCTGAAAAACTACTTTGTGGTGTGTGTATTCATCTCAGAGAGATAGAGCTTTCTTTTTGGGGGACATTTTGGAATCACTGTTTTTGAAGAATCCATGAAGGGATACTTGGGAGCACATTAAGGCTTGTTGTGAAAAGAGAAATATCTTCAGAGAAAAATGGAAGGAAGCTTTCTGAGAAACTGCTTTGTGATGTGTGATTTCATCTCACAGAATCAAACATTTCTTTTGGTGACACAGTTTCTTAGCCCAATTTTCATAGAATCTGTGAAGGGAAATTGGAAGTGTGCAATGAAGTCTATGGTGAAAAAGCAAATATCTTCAGAGAAAAACTAGGAAGACATTTTGTGAGAAACTGCATTCTGATGTCAGCATTGCTCTCACAGAGTTAAATGCTTGAGGCCATTGAGTCCTATGGTGGAAAAGGAAATATCTTCAGAGAACAACTAGACAGAAGCTATCAGAGAAACTGCTTTGTGATGTGTGCATTCATCTCACAGAGTTAAACCTTTCTTTTGATTGAGCAGTATGGAAATACTCTTTTCGTAGAATCTGCAAATGTATACTTGGGAGTGCATTGACACCTATGGTGAAAAAGGAAATATCTTCGGATAAAAACTAAAAAAAAGCTTTTTAGAAACTACTTTGTGATGTGTGCATTCAACTAACGAGTTAAAAAGGTTTTTTTATTGAGCAGATTAGAAACACTGTTTTTGTAGGATCTGTGACTGGATATTTGGAAGCACATTAAAGCTTATGGGGATAAAGGAAATATCTTCAGATAAAAACTAGAGAGAAGTTTTTGAGAAACTGCTTTGTGATGTGTGCATTCATCTCACAGAGTTAAACTTTTATTTTTACTGAGCAGTTTGGAAACACTGTTTTTGCAAACTCTGCAAAGTAATATTAGGCAGTACAAAAAAGCCTATGGTGAAAAAGGAAATATCTTCAGATATAAACTGGGAAAAGTGTTATGAGAAACTGCTTTCTGATGTGTTCGTTCCTGTCACAAAGTTAAACTTTTGTATTGATTGAGCAGTTTGGAAACACTATTATTGTAGTATCTGCATAGGTATATCTGGGAGCGCACTGTGGCCAATGGTGATAAAGGAAACATCTTTGGATAAAAACGAGAAAGAAGCTTTTTGAGAAACTGCTTTGTGATGTGTACATTCATCTCACACTGTTAAAACTTTCTTTTGACTGAACAGTTTGGAAACACTGTTTTTATAAAATCCGCGATGCGATATTAGGTAATGCAAAAAAGCCTAGTGTGAAGAGGGAAATACATTCAGACAAAACTGGAAAGAAGCATTATGATAAACAGCTTTCTGATGTGTGCATTCATCTCACAGAGCTAAGTTCTTCTTTTGATGGTATAGGTTGCAAATGCTGTTTTTGTAGAATCTGTGAAGGGCTATTAGGGAACCCATTGAGGTCTATGGTGGAAAAGGAAATATATTCAGAGAAGAACTAGAGAGAAGCTTTCTGAGAAATTTCTGTGTGATATGTGTATTCACGTGACAGAATTAAAACTTTCCTTTCATTGACCAGTTTGAAATCACTGTTTTTGTAGAATCTGCGAAAGGATATTTCAGAGTGCAGGAGGCTTATGGCGAAAAGGGAAGAACTTGAGATAAAAACTAGAAAGAAGCTTTCTGAGAAACTGCTTTGTGATGTGTGCATTCTTCTCACAGAGTTAAACGTTTATTTCTGTTGAGAAGTTGGGAAGCACTGTTTTTGTAGAATTTGCAAAGGGATATTTGGGAGCACAATGATGCCTTTGGTGAAAAAGGAAATATATTCAGACAAAAAATAGAAAGAAGCTCTTTGAGAAACTGCTTTGGATGTATGCATTCATCTCACAGAGGTAAACTTTTCCTTTGACTGAACCATTTGGAAACACAGTTTTTGCAGAATCTGTGACAGGATATTTGGGAGTGCATGAGGTCCAATGTGACAAAGGAAATAACTTCAGATAAAAACTAGAAAGAAGCTTTCTGACAAATCGCTTTGTAATGTGTGCATTCTTCTCACAAAGTTAAATGTTTATTTTGACTGAGTAATTCAGAAACACTGTTTTTGTAGAATCTGCAAAGGGATATTTGGGAGAGCACTGATGAATACAGTGAAATGGGAAATATCTTTGGATAAAAAGTAGAATGAGGCTCTATGAGAAACTGCCTTGCAATGTATGCATTTATCTCACAGAGTTAAACTTTTATTTTGACTGAGTGGTTTGGAAACACTGTTTTCCTATAATCTGTGAAGCAATGTTAGGTGGCATGAAAAGGCCTATGGTGAACAAGGAAATATCAGATAAAAACTGGAAAGAAGAGTTATAAGAAACTGCTTTCTGATGTGTGTGTTCATCTCACTGAGTTAAATCCTTCTTTTGATGGAAAAGTTCGATAACACTGTTTTTATAGAATCTACGTAGTGATATTAGGGAGCACATCGAGACCTATGGTGGAAAAGGAAATATCTTCAGAGAAGAACTAGACAGAAGCCTTTGAGAAACTTCTTTGTGATGTGTGCATTTGTCTCACAGAGTTAAACCTTTTTGGCTAATTGAGCCATTTGGAAAAACTGTTTTTGTCGAATCTTCAAAGGTATAATTGGGTGCACACTGAGTCCTACGGTGAAAAAGGAAATTTTTTGGATAAAAACTAGAAATGACCTTTTTTGTTAAACTGCTTTGTGATGTGTGTATTCATCTCACAGAGTTAAACATTTCTTTTCATTTAGCAGTTTGGAAACACTCCTTTTGTAGAATCTGTGAAGCGAAGTTGAGTATGCAAAAAAGCCTATGGTGAACAAGGAAATATCTTCAGATAAAAACTGGAAGGAAGCATTATGAGAAACTGCTTTCTGATGTGTGAATTCATCTCACAGAGTTCAGTTCTTTTTTTGATGGAACAGTTTGGAAACACTGATTTTGTAGAATCTGTGAAGGGATATTGGGCAGTGCATTGAGGCCTACGGTGAAAAAGGAAATATCTTCAGAGAAGAACTAGACAGAAACTTTCTGAGAAACTACATTGTAATGTGTGCATTCATTTCACAGAATAAAACTTTCTGTGTATTGAGCAGTTTGGAAACACTGTTTCTGTAGAATCTGCAAAGTTATATTTGGGAGTGCAACTGAGGCCTATGGTGAAAAAGAAATATCTTCAGATAAAAACAGGAAAGAAGATTTTTGAGAAAATGTTTTGTGATGAGTGCATTCAACTCACAGAGTTGAACCTGTTTCTTGATTGAGCAGTTTGGAAACAGTGTTGTTGTAGAATATTCAAAAGGTTATTTGGGAGCGCATTGAAGCCTATGGTGATAAAGGGAAAATTTCAGATAAATACTAGAAAGAAGTTTTTGAGAAACTGCTTTGTGATGCGTGCATACATCTCACAGAGTTAAATCTTTGTTTTGGCTGAGCAGTTTGGAAACATTGTTTTTGCAAAATCTGTGAAGCATTGTTAGGTAGCTCAAAAAGCAAAGGTCGAAAAAGGAAATATCTTCAGATAAAAACTGGAAAGAAACGTTATGAGAAACTGCTTTCTGATGTGTGCATTCATCTCACAGAGGTACACCTTTCTTATAATGCAACAGTTTGGAGACACTGTTTTTGTAGAATCTGTGAAGGGATTTATATTGTGAAGAGATATTTGTCAGCACAGGGATATTTTTGAGTGCTTTGAAGCTTATGTTGAAAAATGAAATAGCTACACAGAAAAACTAGAGAGAATCTTTATGAGAAACTGCTTTGTGAAATGTGCATTCTTCTCAAAGAGTTAAATCTTTCTTTTGATTGAGCAGTTTGGAAACACTGTATTTGTATATTCTGCAAAGCAATATTTGGTATCGCACTGAGGCCTATGGTGAAAAAGGAAATATCTTTGGATGAAAATTAGAAAGAAGCTTTTTGAGAAACTGCTTTGTGATCTTTGCATACACCTGACAGACTTAAACTTTTCTTTTGAGTGAGCTGTTTGGAAACAATGTTTTTGTATAACCTGCAAGGCCATGTTTTGTAGCACAAAAAGGCCTATGGTGAACAAGGGAATATCATCAGATAAAAACTGGAAAGAAGCGTTATGAAAAACTGCTTTCTGATGTGTGCATTCATCTCACAGAATTACATCTTTCTTTTGATGGAACAGTTCAGAAACATTGTTTTTATAGAATGTGTGGAGCGACATTTAAGAGCAAATTGAGGCCTATGGTGGAAAAGGAAATAACTTCAGAAAAGAACTAGACAGCATCTATCTGAGAAACTGCATTTTGATGTATGTATTTATCTCACAGAGTTAAATCTTTCTTTTGATAGAGCAGTTTTAAAACACTGGTTTTGTAGAATCTGCAAAGGGATATTTGGGAGCACATTGAAGACTGGTGAAAAAAGAAATATCTTCGTATAAAAACTAGACAGAAGATTTTTGAGAGACTACATTGTGATATATGCATTCATCTCACAGAGTTAAACTTTTCTTTTGACACAGAAGTTTGGAAACAATGTTTTTGTATAACCTGTGAAGTGATATTTTGTGTCACAAAGAGGCCTATGGTGAAAAAAGAAGTATTTTCAGATAAAAACTGGAAAGACCATTTCTGATACACTGATTTGTGATGTGTGTATTCATTTCACATTGTTAAATTTTTCTTTTGATGGAGCCATTTGGAGACGAACTTTTGGTGGAATCTGCAAATATTTAATTTGGATCACATTGAGGCCTGTGGTGAAAAAGGAAATATCTCCAGATAAAAGCTAGAAAGAATCTTTCTCAGAAACTGCTCTCTGATGTGTGCATTCATCTGACAGAGTTAAAGCTTTCTTTTGATTGAGCAGTGTGGAAACAGTGTTTTGGTAGAATCTGCCAAGGGATATTTGGGATTGAACTTACCTAATGGTAAAAAAAGAAATAACTTCAGATTAGAAGTATAATGAAGCTTTGTGGGAAACCAGTTTGTGATGTGTGTATTCTTCCCACAGATTTAAACCTTTCTTTTGATTGAGGAGTTTGAAAAAACTGTTTTTGTAGAATATGCAATGGGATATTTGAAAGTGCAGTTAGGCCTATGGTGAAAAAGGAAATATATTTGGATAAAAACTAGAAAGAAGCTTTTTGTGAAACTGCTTTGTGATGTGTGCACTCGTCTTAAGGAGATTCACCATTCTTTTGACTGAGCAGTTTGGAAACACTTTTTGTGTAATCTGTGAAGGGATATTAGCTAGCACAGAAAAGCCTATGGTAAAAAAGGAAATATCTTCAGATTAAAAGTGGAAAGAAGAGTTTTGAGAAGCTGCTTTCTGATGTGTGCATTCAGATCACAGAGTTAAGTCCTTCGTTTGATGGAACAGTTTGGAAACACTGTTCTTGTAGAATTGGAGAAGGGATATTTGGGAGCACATTGAGGCCTAAGGTGGAAAAGGAATTATCTTCATTGAAGAAGGAGACAAGAGCTTTCTGAGAAACTGCTTTGGGAAGTGTGCGTTCATCTCACAGGGTTAAACCTTTCTTTTGATATAGCGGTTTGGAAACACAGTTTTTGTAGAATCTGCAAAGTGATATTTGGGTGCACATTGAAGTTCTACGGTGAAAAAGGAAATATCTTCAAATAAAATCTAAAAATAAGCTTTTGTAATACTGCTTTGTAATGTATGCATTCTTCTCATGGAGTTAAAAGGTTCTTTTGATTGCGCTGTTTGGAAACACTGTTTTTGTAGAATCTGCAAAGGGATATTTGGGAACACACTGAAGCCTATAGTGAAAAAGGAAATATCTTCAGATAAAAACTACAAAGCAGCTTTTTGTAACTGCTTTGTGATGTATGCATTCATCTTACAGAATTAAACTTTTCTTTTGACTGAGCAGTTTGGAAACACTGATTTTGTATAATCTTTTAAGTGATATTAGGTAGCGCAAAAAGGCCTATGTTGAACAAGGAAATAGTTTCAGATAAAAAATGGAAAGAAGTGTTATTAGGAACTGGTTTCTGATGTGTGCATTCATCTTAGAGAGGTAAATCTTTCTTTTAATGGAACAGTTCAGAAACACTATTTTTATACAATATGGAAGGGATATTTAGGAGCACATTGAGGCCTATGATGAAAAAGGAAATATCTTCAGAGAAGAACTAGACAGAAGCTGTCTGAGAAATTGATTTTTGATGTGTGCATTCATGTCACCGAGTTAAACCTTTATTTTGATTGAGCAGATTGGAAACACTGTTTTTGTAGAATTTGCAAAGGTATATTAGGGAGCACACTGTGGATTATTGTGAAAAAGGAAATATCTTCAGATAAAAACTAGAAAGAAGCGTTTTGACAAACTGCTTTGTGATGTGTGCATTCATCTCACAGAGTTAAACCCTTCTTTTGACTGAGCAGTTTGGAAACACTGTTTTTGTAGAATCTGGGATGGGATATTTGGGAGCTCATTGATGCCTATGGTGAAAAAGGAAATATCTTCAGATGAAAACTTCAAAGAAACTTTCTGAGAAACTGCTTTGTGATGTGTGCATTCATCTCACAGAATTACATTTTCTTTTGATTGAGCAGTTTTGAAACACTGTTTTTGTGAAATCTGCAAAGGGATATTTGGGAGCACAATGAGGCCTATAGTGAAAAAGGAAATATCTTAAGAGAAAAACTATAAAGACGTTTTCTGAGAAACTGATTTGCAATGTGTGCATTCATCTTACAAAGTAAAACATTTCTTGTGATTGAGCAGTTTTGAAAATTTGTTTTTGCAGAATCTGCGAAGGGATATTTTGGAGTTCATTGAAGCATAAGTTGACAGAGGAAATATCTTCAGAGAAAAACTAGACAAAAGCTTTCTGAGAAACTACTTTGTGATGTGTGCATTCATCTCACAGAGTTAAAACTTTCCTTTGTTGGATCAGTGTGGAAACAAGGTTTTTGTAGGAACTCCAAAGGCCTATTTTGGTGCACATTGAGGCCTATGGCCAAAAAGGAAATATCTTTAGATAAAAACTAGAAAGAAGATTTCAGAGAAACTGATTTCTGATGTCTGCATTCATCTCACAGAGACAAAATTTTCTTCTGATGGAGCTTTTTGAAAACACTGTTTTTGTCGAGTCTGCAAAGGGATATTAGGGAGCTCATTGATGCCAATGGCAAAACAGTGAATAGCCCAGGATAAAAACTAGGAGGAAGCTATCTGAGTAACCGCTTTGTGATGTGTGCTTTCACATCGTAGAGTTAAACCTTTCTTTTCATTCAGCGGTTTGGAAACACTGTATTTGTAGAATCTGCAAAGGGATGTTTTGGAGTGCATTGAGGCCTACGGTGAAAAAGGAAATATCTTTAGATAAAAACTAGAAAGATGCTTTCTGAGAAACTGCTTTGAGATGTGTGCATTCTCATCACAGAGTTAAACTGTTTTTGGGATTTAGCAGTTTGGAGACACTGTTTTCATTCATTCTGCAAATGGACATTTCAGAACTCATTGAGGCCAATGGCTAAACAGTGAATATCCCAGGATAAAACCTGGAAGGAAGCTATCTGAGAAACTGCTTTGTGATGTGTGCATTCACTCCAGACAGTTAAACCTTTCTTTTCTTGTCTGAAAAGAATTTTCAGCAGTTTGGACAGCCTGTATCTGTAGAATCTGTGAAGGGATATTTGGGAGCACATTGAATCCTATGGTGAAAAGAAAATATCATCGGATAAAAACTAGAAAGAAGCTTTCTAAGAAACTGTTGTGTGATGTATGCATTCATCTCACGGTGGTAAACCTTTCTTTTGATTGTTCAATTTGAAACACTGTTTTTGTACAATCTGTGAAGGGATATTTGGAAGCATTCAAAGTGTATGGTGAAAAAGGAAATTACTTCAGATAAAAACTAGAAGGAAGCTTTCTCAGCAATCGATCTGTGATGTTTGCATTCTTCTCACAGAGGTAAACGTTTTTGTTGATTGAGCTGTTTTGTAACACCGTTTTCATATAATCTGTGAAGGGATATTTGGGAGCACACTGATGCCTATGGTGAAAGAAGAAATATCTTCAGATAAAAACTAGGAACAAGCTTTCTGAGAAACTGCTTTGTGATTTGTGTGTTCAACTAACGGAGTTAAACCTGTTCTTTATGGAGCAGTTTGGAAACACTGTTTTTGTAAAATCTTCAATGGGATATTTGGAAGAGTAGTTAGGATGGTGGTGAAAAAAGAAATATCTTCGAATATAAACTAGAAAGAATTTTTTTGAGTAACTGCTTTCTGATGTGTGCATTCATCTCACAGAGTTAACCTTTGTTTTGACTGAGCAGTTTGGAAACACTGTTTTTGTATAATTTGCAAAGCGATATTAGTGCAAAAATGCCTACATTGATAAAGGAAATATCTTCAGATTAATACTGGAAAGAAGTATTATAAGAAACTGCTTTCAGATGTTGCATTCATCTCACAGAGTTAAGTCCTTCTTTTGATGGAACAGTTTAGAAACAATGTTTTTGTAGAATCTCCAAAGGGTATTTGGGAGTGCATTGAGGCCTATGGTGGGAAAGCAAATATCTTCAGAGAAGAACTAGATAGAAGCTGTCTGAGAAAGTCTTTTGTGATGTGTGCATTCATCTCACAGAGTTAAACCTTTCTTTTGAATGAGCAGTTTGGAAACACTTTTTTTGCAGAATCTGTGAAGTGATATTTGGGAACCCATTGAAGCTTGTGGTGAAAAAGGAAATACCTTCAGATAAAAACTAGAAAGAACCTGTTTGAGAAACTGCTTTTGGAGGTGAGCATTCATCGCATAAAGTTAAACATTTGTTTTGACTGAGCAGTTTGGAAACACTGTTTTTGTATTACCTGTGAAGTGGTATTATGTAGGGCAAAGAGGCCTATGGTGAACAAGGAAATATCTTCAGATAAAAACTGGGATGAAGTGTTAAGAGAAACAGCTTTCTTATTTATGCACTCATCTCACACAGTTAAATCCTTCATTGAATAGAACTGTTCAGAAACACCATTTTTATAGAATCTGCAGATGATTATTTGGGAACACTTTGACTCCTAAAGTGAAAAAGGAAGTATCTTCAGAGAAAAACTAGACAGAAGCTATCTGAGAAACTGCTTGGTGATATGTGCATCCATCTTACAGAATTAAACCTTTCTTTTGATTGAGCAGTTTGAAAACAATGTTTTCATAGAATCTGCAAAGATATATTTGGGAGCACACAGAGGCCTATGGTAAAAATGAAAATATCTTCAGATTAAAACAATAAAGGTGCTTTTAGAGAAACTGCTTTGTGATGTCTGCATTCAATTCACAGTGTTAAACCTGTTTTTTGATTGATCAGTTTGGAAGCACTGGTTTTGTAAAATCTGCAATGGGATATTTGAAAGTGCAGTTAGGCCTATGGTGAAAAAGGATATATCTTTGGATAAAAACTAGAAAGAAGCATTTGAGCAACTGCTCTGTGATGTGTGCATTCATCTTACAACATTAAAGCTTTCTTTTGACTGAGCAGTTTGGAAACACGGTTTTTGCAAAATTGATACTAGGTATCGCAATAAAAGCCTGTGACAAAAAAGGAAATATCTTCAGATAAAAACTAGAAAAAAGCGTTATTAGAAACTGCTTTCTGATGTGTGCATTCAGCTCTCAGAGTTAAGTCTTTTTTGATGGACCTGTTTGGAAACTCTGTTTTTGTAGAGTCTGTGAAGGGATATTTGGGAGTGCATTGAAGCCTATGGTGGAAAAGAAAATATCTTCAGAGGAGACCGGACAGAGCTTTCTGAGAAACTGGTTTGTTATGTACGCATTCATGTCACAGAGTTAAAACTTTCCTCTGATTGAGCAGTTTAGGACACTATTTTTTTAGATTCCACAAAGGGATATTTGTGAGCGCACTGAGGTCTATGGTAAAAAAGGAAATATCTTCGGATAAAAAATAGAAATAAGAATTTTGAGAAACTGTTAGTGAAGTATGATTCATCTCACTGAGCTAAACTTTTATTTTGACTGAGAAGTTTGCAAACACCGTTCTTGTACAATCTGGGTTACTATGTTAAGTAGCCCAAAAAGGCCTATGGTGAACAAGGAAATATTTTCAGATAAAAACTGGAAAGAAGCATAATGAGAAACTGCTTTCTGATGTGTGCATTCATCTCACAGTGTGTAGTCATTGTTTTGATGGAACAGTTCAGATACTCTGGTTTTATAGAATCTGCAAAAGAATATACAGGAGCGTATTGAGGCCTCTGATTGAAAATGAAATATCTTCAGAGAAGAACTAGACAGAAGCTATTGGAGAAATTTCTTTGTGAGGTTTACATTCATCTCACAGAGTTAAAACTTTCCTTTGATTGAGCAGTTTGGAAACACTGTTTTTACAGAAACTGCGAAGGGATAATTGGGAGCGCACTGAGGCCTACATTGAAAAAGGCAATATCTTTGCATAAAAACTAGAAAGCTTTTTGGGAAACTGTTTAGTGAAGTGGGCACTCATCTCACAGAGTTTACCGTTTCTTTTGATGTAGCAGTTTGGAAACACTGTTTTTGCAAACTCTGTGAGGTGATACTTGATAGCACAAAAAAGACTCTGGTGAACAAGGAAATAACTTCAGATAAAAACTGGAAAGAAGCATTATGAGAAATTACTTTCTGGTGTGTGCATTCATCTCACAGAGTTAAACATTTCTTTTGATAGAGCAGTTTGAAAATATCGTTTTTGTAGAATCTGTGCAGGGATATTTGGAGGTGCAGTGAGGCCTTTGGAGGAAAAAGAACTATCCTCAGATTAAAAACTAGAAAGAAGCTTTTTGAGAAACTGCTTTGTGATGTGAGCATTCATCTCGCAGAGTTAAACCTTTCTTTTGATAGAGCAGTTAGGAAACACTGTTTTTGTATAATCTACAAAGTCAAATTTTTTAGCATAAAGAGGCCTATGGTGAAAAAGGAAATATTTTAGGATAAAAACTGGAAAGAAGCCTTCTGAGACACTGGTTTGTGATGTGTGCATTCATTTCACAGTGTTAAATCTTTCCTTAGATGGAGATATTTGGAAACACCCTTTTGGCAGAAACTGCAAAGAGTTATTTGGGAGCGCATTTCGGTCTACAGTGAAAAATGACATATCTCCAGATAAAAACCAGAAAGAGTCTTTCTCAGAAATTGATGTGAGCATTCATCTGACAGAGTGAAAACTTTCTTTTGATTGAGCACTTTGGAAAGAGTGTTTTGGTAGACTCTGTGAGGAGATATTTGGGAGCACATGGTGGCCTATGGTGAAAAAGGAAATAACTTCAGATAAAAACTACAAAGAAGCTTTCTGAGAAACCACTTTGTGATGTGCGCATTCTTCTCACATATTTAAACATTTCCTTTGATTGAGCAGTTTGGAAACACTATTTTTGTAGTATCTGCTATGGGATATTTGAAAGCACAGTTAGGCCTATGGTGAAAAAGGAAATATATTCCAATAAAAACTAGAATGAAGCTTATTGAATAACTGTTTTGTGGTGTGTCCATTCATCTCACAGAGATAAACTTTTTTTTCACTGAGTAGTTTGGAAACACTGTTTTTGTATAATTTCTGAAGTGATCATTTGTAGCTCAAAAAAGCCAAGATTGAAAAACAAAATATCCTCATATCAAAACTGGAAAGAATGGTTGTGAGAAACTGCTTTCTTTTGTGTGTGCTCATCCAACAGAGTTAAGTCCTTCTTTTGATGGAACAGTTTGTAAACATTGTTTTTGTAGAATCTGTGAAGGCATATTTGGGAGCACATAGAGGTGTAAGCTGGAAAAGTAAATATCTTCATTGAAGAACTAGACAGAAGCTTTCTTTGAAACTCCTTCATGATGTGTGCATTCATCTCACAGAGTTAAGCATTTCTTCTGATTGAGCACTTTGCAAACACTGGTTTTGTAGAATCTGCGAAGGGATATTTGGGAGCACATTGAAGCCTAAGGTGAAAAAGGAAATATCTACAGAAAAAAACTAGAAAGAAACTTTTTGTGAAACTGCTTTGAGATGTGTGCTTTCATCTCACAGTATTAAAACTGTATTTTGATTAAGCTGTTTGGAAACCCTCTTTTTGTAGGATCTGCGAATGGATTGTTGGGAGCTCATAGAAGGCAATGGTGAAAAATGAAGTATCTTCAGATATAAACTACAAAGAAATTTTTGAGAAACTTTTTCAGATGTATGCATTCATCTCACAGAATTAAACATTTCTTTTGATACAGCAGTTTGGAAACACTGTTTTTGTATAATCTACAAAGTGATATTTGGGAGTTCAAAGAGGCCTATGGTGAAAAAGTAAATATCTTAATTTAAAAAGTGGAAAGAATCTTTCTGAGACACTGATTTGTGATGTCTGCATACATTTCACAGTGTTAAATCTTTCCTTTGCTGGAGCCGTTTGGAAACACCCCTTTGGCAGTATCTACGAAGGGTTATTTGGGAGCTCATTGAGGCCTATGCTGAAAAAGGTAATAATATCTCCAGATAAAAATTATAAAGGAGCTTTCAGAGAAACTACTTTGTGATGTGTGTGTTTGACTCAGAGAGTTAAAACTTTCATTTGCCTGAGCAGTTTGGAAACCCTTTTTTTTTTCTGAAAATCTGCAAAGCAATATTAGGCAACACAAAAAAGCCTATGCTGAAAAAGGAAATATCATCAGATAAACACTGGAAAGAAGCATTATGAGAAACTGCTTTCAGATGTGTGCATTCATCTCACAGAGTTAAGTCCTTCTTTTGATGGAACAGTTTGGAAACACTGTTTCTGCATAATCTGTGAAGCAATGTTTGGTAGCGCAAGATGGCTTATGGTGAACTGGAAATATCTTCAATAAAAACTGGAAGGAAGCATTATGAGAAACTGCTTTCTGATGTGTGCACTCATCTCAGAGAGTTGAATCATTGTTTTGGTGGAAGAGTTTGGAAACACAGTATTTATAGAATCTGTGAAGGGATACTCGGGAGCGCATTGAGGCCTATGGTGGAAAAGGGAATATCTCCAAAGAAGAACTATACAGAAGCTATCTGAGAAACTGCTTTGTGATGTGTGCATTCATCGCACAGAGTTAAACTTTTCTTTTGACTTAGCAGTTTGGAAACACAGTTTTTCTATAATCTAGGAAGTAATGTTACATATCCCAAAAAGGCCTATGGTGAACAAGGAAACATCTTCAGATAAAAACTGGAAAGGTGCATTAAGAGAAACTGCTCTCTGACATGTGCATTCATCTCACAGTGTAAAATCCTTCCTTTGATGGAACAGATTGGAAAAGCTGTTTTCATAGAATTGGTAAAGGAATATTTGGAAGCACATTGAGGCATATGTTGGAAAAGGAAATATCTTCACAGAAGCAGCAGCTATCAGAGAAACTGCTTTATGATGTGTACATTCATCTGATATAGTTAAACATTTCTTTTGATTGAGCAGTTTGGAAACACTGTTTTTATAGAATCTGCAAAGGTATATTTGGGAGTGCACAGAGGCCTATATTGAAAAAGGAAATACATTCGGATTAAAACTAGAAAGAAGCTTATTGAGAAACTGCTTTGTGATGTATGCATTCACCTCACAGAGTTAAACCTGTTTTTTGATTGAACAGTTTGGAAACACTCTCTTTGTAGAATCTGAAACAGGATATTTGGGAGTGCATTGAAGCCTATGGCAGTAAAGGAAATCCCTTTGGATAAAAACTAGAAAGAAGTTTTTGAGAAACTGCTTTGTGATTTGGGCATTCATCTCACATAGTTAAACCTATCTTTTGACTGAGAGGTTTGGAAAAATTGTTTCTGCAAAATCTGTAATGCAATATAAGGTAGGAAAAAAAGCCTATTGTGAAAAAGGAAATATTTTCACATAAAAACAGGAAAGAAGCATTATAAGAAACTGCTTCTGATGTGTGCATTCATCTGACAGAGTTAAAACTTTCTTTTGATTGTGCAGTTTGGTTTTCAGACAAAAACTGTGCAGTTTTGATGGAACAGGTTCTACGCTGTTTTTGTAGAATCTGCAAGGGTATATTTGGGAGCCCACTGAGGCCTATGGTGGAAAAGAAAATATTTTTGGATAAAAACTTGAAAGAAATTTTTTGTGAAACTGCTTTGTTATGTGTGCACTCAACTCACAGAGTTAAATCTGGTTTTTGATTGAGCAGTTAAGAAACAATCTCTTTGTAGAATATGTGATTGGATATTTGGGAGTGCATTGAAGCCTATGGTGATAAATGAAATATCTTAGAATAAAAATTAGAAAGAAGCATTTTGAGAAAGTTCTTTGTGATGTGTACATTCATTTCACAGAGTTAAACCTTTCTTTTGACTGACCAGTTTGGAAACACTGTTTTTGCAAATCTGCAAAGCAATAATAGATACCGCAAAATAGCCCTTGATCAACACGGAAATATCTTCAGAAAAAAACTGGAAAGAAGCGTTATGAGAAACTGCTTTCTGAAGTGTGCATTCATATCACAGAGTTAAGTCCTTCTTTTGATGGAACAGTTTCTAAACACTTATTTTGTAGAATCAGCGAAGGGATATTTGGGAGCACATTGAGGCCTACAGTGGAAAAGGAAATATCTTCAGAGAACTAGACAGAAGTTTTATGAGAAATTGCTTTGTGATGTGTGCAGTCATCTCAGAGAGTTAAAAGTTTCTTTTGATTGAGCTGTTTGGAAACACTGTTTTTGTAGAATCTGTGGAGGGGCATTTGGGAGCACATTGAAGCCTATGGTGAAAAAGGAACTATCTTCGGTTGAAAACTAGGAAGAAGTATTTTGAGAAACTGCTTTGTGATCTGTGCATTCATCTCACAGAGCAAAACTTTTCTTTTGATTGAGCAGTTTGGAAACACCTTTTTTGTAGACTCTGTGAAGGGAAGTTAGGTAGTGCAAAAAGGCCTATGGTGAACAAGGAAATATCTTTGGGTAAAAACTGCAAAGAAATTTTATGAGAAACTGCTTTGTGCTGTGTGCAGTCATCTCACAGAGCTAAACCCTCTTTGGATTAAGCAGTTTGGAAACACAGTTTTTGTAGACCCTGCAAGGGGATATTTGTGAGCATATTGAAGTCTATAGTGAAAAAGAAAATATCCTCAGAGAAAAACTAGACAGAAGCTATCTGAAAAACTGCTTTGTGATGTGTACATACATCTCACAGAAGTAAACCTTTCTTTTGATTGAGCAGTTTGGAAACATCTTTTTGTAGAATCTGCAAAGCTATATTTGGGAGTGCAGAGGCCTATGGTAAAAAAGGAAATATCTTCAGATAAAAAATAGAAAGAAGCATTATGAGAAACTGCTTTCTGATATGTGCATTCATCTCACGGAGTTAAGTCCTTTTGATGGAACTGTTTGGAAACTCTGTTTTTGTACAATCTGTGAAGGGATTTTTGGGAGTATACATTTTTGGGAGGGCTATGGTGGAAAAGGAGCTATCTTCAGAGAAAAACTATACAGAAGCTATCTAAGAAACTGTGATGTGTGCATTCTTCTGACAGAGTAAAACCTTTCTTGTTATTTAGCAGATTGGAACACTGTTTTTGTAAATATGCAAATGTATAGTTTGGAGTGCACTGAGGCCTATGGAGAAAAAGGAAAATCTTCAAAACCTTTAGTTTTTATTTAAACTAAAAAGAAGCTTTTTAAGAAATGGCTTTGTGATGTGTGCATTTGACTCAAAGGAGATAATCTGTTTTCTGATTGAAGAGTTTGGAAACACTGTTTTTGTTGAATCTGTGACAGGATATTTGGGAGTGCATAGAAGCCTATGGTGATAAAAGAAATATATTCAGATAAAAATGAGAAATAAGCACTTTGAGAAACCACTTTGTGATGTGTGCATTCATCTGACAGAGTTAAAACTTTCTTTTGAATGAGCAGTTTGGAAACAGTGTTTTGCAAAATCTGTGAAGTGATATTTTGTAGTGCAAGAAAGCCTTTGGTGAACAAGGAAATACCTTCAGATAAAAAGTAGAAAGAAGCATTATGAGAAACTGCTTTCTGATGTTTGCATTCATCTCACAGAGTTAAGTCCTTCTCTTCATGGAAAAGTTTTGGAAACGCTTTTTTTTGTAGAATCTGAGAAGGGATATTTGGGAGTGCACTGAGGCCTATGGTGGAACATGAAATATATTCAGAGAAGAACTAGAGAGAAGATTTCTGAGAAACTGCTTTATGATGTATGCATGCAACTCATAGAGTTAACCCTTTCTTTTGATTGAGCAGTTTGGAAAAACTGTTTATGTGGAATCTGCAAAGTGATACTTGAGAGCTCATTGAAGCCTATGGAGAAAAAGGAAATATCTTTTGATAAAAACTAGAAAGAAGCTTATTGAGAAGCTGTTTGTTATGTATGCATCCATCTGACAGAGTTACAACTTTTTTTGATTGATCAGTTTGGAAACTCTACTTTTGTAGAATCTGTGAAGGGATATTTGGGAGTCCACGAGGCCTATGGTGAAAAAGGAAATAACTTCAAATAAAAACTAGAAAGAAGCTTTCTGAGAAACTGCTTTGTGATGTGTGCATTCTTCTTAAAGAATTAAACGTTTCTTTTGATTGAGCAGTTTGGAAATACTGTTTTTGTAGAATCTGCAAAGGGATATTTCAGGACCCAATGATGCCCAGGGTGAAAAAGGAAATATCTTCATTAAAATCTAGAAAGATTTTTGAGAAACTGCTTCGTGATGTATGCATTCATCTCACAGAGTTAAACCTTTCTTTTGACTGAGCAGTTTGGAAACACTGTTTGTGTATAATCTGTGAAGAGATGTTAGGTAGCACAAAAAGGCCTATGGTGAACAAGTATATATCTTCAGATAAAAACTGGAAAGAAGCATTAGAAGAAACTCCTTTCTGATGTGGGTGTTCATCTCACAGAGTTAAATGTCTCTTGTTTGAACAGTTTGGAAACACTTTTTTTGCAGAGTCTGCGAAGGAATATTTGGGAGTGCATTTATGCCTATGGTGGAAAAGGAAATATCTTCAGAGAAGAACTAGACAGAAGCTTTCTGAAAAACTGCTTTATGATGTGTGTATTCATCTCACAGAGTTAAACCTTTCTTTTGTTTGAGCATTTTGGAGACCCTGTTTTTGTAGAATCTGCACAGATATAGCTGGGAGTGCACTGAGGCCTGTGGTGAAAATGGAAATATCTTCAGATAAAAACTAGAAAGAAGCTTTTTGAGAAATGTCTTGTGATGTGTGCATTTAACTGCAAGATTTAAACCTGTTTTTGATTGAGCAGATTGGAAACACTATTTTTTGTAGAGTGTGTGACAGGATATTTGGGAGAGCATTGAAGCCTATGGTGATAAAGAAAATATTTTCACATAAAAACTAGAAAGAAGCTTTTTGAGAAATTTCTTTGTGACGTGTGCATTTATCTCAGAGAGTTAAACGTCTCTTTTGATTGATCAGTTTGGACACACTGTTTTTGTAGAATCTGCAAATGCATATTTGGGAGCACATTGAGGCCTATGGTAATAAAGGAAATACCTTTGGATAAAAACGAAAATGGAGCATAGTGAGAAACTGCTTTGTGTTGTGTGCATTGATCTCACAGAGTTAAACCTCTCTTTAGATTGATCAGCTTGTAAACACATTTGGTAGAATCTGTGAAGGGATATTTGTTAGCACACGAGGCCTATGGTGAAAAAGGAAATAACTTCAGATAAAAATCAGAAAGAAGCTTTCTGAGAAACTGCTTTGTGATGTATGCATTAATCTCATAGAGTTAACAATTTCTTTGATTGAGTAGTTTGGAAAAACTTTTTTTTAGAGCCTGCAGAGGGATATTTTGGAGCACACTGATCCTATGGTGAAAAAGGAAATGACTTCTGATAAAAACTAGAAAGAAGCTTTGTGAGAAACTGCTTGATGTTGCTTGCATTCATCTCACAGTGTTAAACTTTTCTTTTGACTGAGCAGTATGTACACACTCTTTTTGGATAATCTGTGAAGCCATGTTATGTAGCACTGAGAGGCCTATGGTGAACAAGGAAATATCTTTAGATAAAACCTGGAAAGAATCATTATGAGAAACTGCTTTCAGATTAGTGCTTTCATCTCACAGAGTTAAATCCTTCTTTCCATGAAACAGTTTGGAAATAGTGTTTTTGTAGAATAGGCAAAGGAATATTTGGGATCACATTGAGGCCTATGGTGGAAAATGAAATAACTTCAGAGGACAACTAGACAGAAAGATTCTGAGAAACTGCCTTGTGATGTGTGTATTCACCTCACAGAGGTAAACCTTTCTTTTGATGGAGCAGTTTGGAAAAAGTGTTTTGTAGAATCTGCCAAGGGATATTTGGGAGCACAAGAGGCCTTTGGTGGAAAAGGAAATTAATTCAGATAAAAACATGAAAGAAGTTTTCTGGGAAACAGTTTTGTAATGTGTGCATTCCTTTCACTGAGTTAAACATTTCCTTTGATTGATCAGTTTGTAAACACTGTATATGTAGAATCTTAAAAGAGTTATTTGAAAGCCACTGAGGCCTATGGTGAAAAAGAAATTTTCTTCGGATGAAAACTAGAAAGAAGCCTTCTGAGAAACTGTTTTGTGATGTGTGCATTCACTGCACAGAACTGAAACATTCTTTTGATTCAGTAGTTTGGAAACACTGTTTTTCTAGAATCTGCAAAGGGATATTTGGGAGCACAGAAGCCCTATGGTGAAAAGAGAAACAACTTTAGATAAACACTAGAAAGAAACTTTCTGAGAAACTGATTTGTGATGTATGCATTCATCTCACAAAGTTAAACTTTTCTTTTGACTGAGCAGTTTGGAAACACTTTTTCTGTATAATCTGTGAAGTGATGTTAAGTAGCCCAAAAATGTCCATGGTGCACTGGTAAATATCTTCAGAGAAAAACTGGAAAGAAAGGTTATGAGAATCTGCTTTCTGATGTGCATGTTCATCTCATAGAGTTAAGTCCTTCTTTTGATGGAACAGTTTGGAAACACTGTTTTTGTATAATCTGCAAAGGGATATTTGGGAACGCATTGAGGCATATGGTGGAAAAAGAAATGTCTTCAGAGAAAAACTAAACAGAAGCTTTTTTAGAAACTGCTTTGTGATGTTTGCATTCATCTCACAGAGTTTAAACTTTCTTTTGATTGAGCAGTTTGGAAATACTGTTTTTGTTGAATCTTCAAAGGGATATTTGGGAGCACACAGAAGCCTATGGTGAAAAAGGAATTATTTTCAGATAAAAACAAGTAAGAAGCTTTCTGAGAAACAGCTTTGTAATGTGTGCATTCATCTCAGAAAGTTAAAGATTTCTTTTGATTGAGGCATTTGGAAACACTGTTTTTGTAGAATCTGCAAAGGGATATTTGGGACACCACTGATGCTTATGGTGAAAAAGGAAATGTCATCAGTTAAAAACTAGAAAGAAGCTCTTTGAGAAACTGCTTTTTTAATGTATGCATTCATTTCACAGAGTTACACTTTTCTTTTGACTTAGTAGTTTGGAAACACTGTTTCTGTATAATCTGCAAAGTGATGTTGTGTTGTACAAAAAGGCCTATGGTGAACAAATTAATGTCTTCAGATAAAAACTGGAAGGAAGTGTTATGAGAAAATGCTTTCTGATGTGTGCCTTTACGTCACAGAGTTAAATCCTTCTTTTGATGGAAGTGTTCGGAAACCCAGTGTTTTGTAGACTCTGCAAAGAGACACTTGGGAGCACATTGAGGCCTATGGTGGAAAAGGAAATATCTTCAGAGAATAACCAGACAGAAGCTGTCTGATAAACTGCTTTGTGATGGGTGCATTCATCTCACAGAGTAAAACCTTTCTTTTGATTGATTATTTTGAAAACACTGTTTTCGTAGAATCTGCGAAAGGATATTTCATAGTGCATTGAAGCCTATGATGAAAAAGGAAAGATGTTTGAATAACAACTAGAAAGAAGCTTTTTGAGAATCCGCTTTGAGATGCATGCATTCATCTCACAGAGTAAAACCTTTGTTTTTCCTGAGCAGTTTGGAAACACAGTTTTTTTAGAATCTGTGAAGGGATAATTGGGAGTGCACTGAAGCCTATGGTGAAAGAGGAAATATCTTTAGATAAAATTATGAAAGAAGATTCCTGAGAAACAGCTTTGTGATGCGTGCCTGCAACTCACAGAGCTAAACCTGTTTTTTGATTAAGCAGTTTAGAAACACTGTTTTTGTAGCATCTGAGACAGGATATTAGGTAGCGCAAAGATGCCTATGGTGAAAAAGGAAGTATCTTCAGAAAAAAACCTGGAAAGACGCCTTCTGAGACACTGATTTCTGATGTGTGAATTCATTTAACAGTGTTAAATTTTTCCTTTGATGAAGACATTTGCAAGCACCCTTTGGCAGAATCTGCGAAGGCTTATTTTGGAGCACATTGAGGCCCACAGTGAAAAAGGAAATGACTCAAGTCAAAAAAAAAGAAAGAAGCTTTCTGAGAAACTGCTTTATGATGGGTCTGTTCATCTCACAGAGTTAAGTTCTTCTTTTGATGGAACAGTTTGGAAACACTGGTTTTGTAGAATCTGTGAAGGGATATTTGGGAGTACAGTAGGGACTATGGTGGAAAAGGAAATATCTTCAGAGAAGAACTAGACAGGAGGTATCAGAGAAACTGCTTTGTGATATGTGCATTCATCTCACAGAGTTAAACCTTTCTTTTGATTGAGCAGTTTGGAAACACGGTTTTTGTAGAAACTGGAAAGGAATATTTTGCAGCACTCTGAGGCCTATGGTGAAAAAGAAAATATCTTGGGATAAAAACTAGAAAGAAGCTTTTTAGGAAACTGATGTGTAATGTGTGCATTAATATCACAGAGATAAAATTTTCTTTTAATGGAGCAGTTTGGAAAGACTGTTTTTGCAAAATCTGTGAAGTGATATTAAGTAGCATGCAAAAAAGACTATGGTGAACAAGGAAGTACCTTCAGATAAAAACTGGAAAAAAGTGTTATGAGAAACTGCTTTCTGATGTGTGCATTCATCTCACAGAAGTAAGTCGTACTTTTGATGGAACAGTTTGGAAGCACTGTTTTTGTAAAATCTGCTAAGGGATATATGGGAGCACACTGACACCTAGGGTGAAAAAGGAAATATCTTTGAATAAAAACTAGAAAGCAGCTTTTAGAGAAAATGATTTTTGATATGTGCATTCAATTCACAGAGTTAAAACTGTTTTTTATTGAGCAGTTTGGAACCTTTTTGTTTTAGAATCTGCAAAGGGATATTTGGGAGTGCACTGATGCCTATGATGAAAAATGGAATATCTTCGGATAAAAAATAGAAAGAAACTTTTTGAGAAACTGCTTTGTGTCGTGTGCATTTATCTCACAGAATTAAACCTTTCCTTTTACTGAGCTGTTTGGAAACGCTGTTTGGAAACACTGTTTTCGCAAAATCTGTGAAATGATATTAGGTATCTCAAAAAAGCCATTTGTGAAAAAATAAATATCTTCAGATAAAAACTGGAAAGAAGCATTATGAGAAACTGCTTTTTGATGTGTGTGCTCTTCTCACATAGTTAAATGCTTCTTTTGATGGAACAGTTTAGAAACAGGTTTTGTAGAATCTGCGAAGGGATATTTGTGAGTGCACTGAGGCCTACGCTGGAAAAGGAAATGTCTTCAGAGAAGAACTAGACAGAATCTTACTGAGAAGCTGCTTTGTGATGTGTGCATTCATCTCACAGAGTTAAACCTTTCTTTTGAAGGATCAGTTTGGAAACAATGTTTTTGTAGTATATGTGAAGGGATATTTGGGAGCACATTAAATCCTATGGTGATGAAGGAAAATCTTCAAATAAAAATAGAAAGAAGCTTTATGAGAAATGGCTTTGTGATGTGTGAATTCATCCAACAAAGTTAAACTATCCTTTGACTGAGCAGTTTGGAAACCTGTTTCTGTATGATCTGCGAAGTGATGATAGGTAGCACAAAAAGGCCTATGGAAAACAAGGTAATATCTTCAGATAAAAACTGGAAAGAAGCGTTAGGAGAAACTGCTTTCTGCTGTGCACATTCTCCTCAGGTAGTTAAATCCTTCTTTTGATGGAACAGTTCAGAAACTGTTTTTATAGAATCTGCAAAGGGATATTTGCAAGTGCATTGAGGCTTAAGGTGGAAAAGGAAATATCTCCATTGAAGAACTGGACAGAAGTTCCCTGAGAAACTGCTTTGTGTTGTGTGTATTCATATCACAGAGTTAAATCTTTCTTTGATTGAGCAGTTTGTAAAACGTGGTTTTGTAGAATCTGAGGAGGGACATTAGGGAGTGCATTGAAGCCTAAGGTGATAAATGAAATATCTTTGGATAAAAACTTGAAAGAAGCATTATGAGAAACTGCTTTCTGATGTGTGCATTTATCTAACTCAGTTAAGTCCATCTTTTGATGGGACAGTTCTGAAACACTGTTTTTATACAATCTGGGAAGGGATATTTGGGAAAGCAATGAGGCATATAGTGGAAAAAGGAATATCTTCTGAGAAGAACTAGACAGAAGCTATCCAAGAAACTGTTCTGTCATGTGTGCATTCATCTCAGAGAGTTAAAAGTTTCTTTTGATTGAGCAGTTTGGAAACACTGTTTTTGTAGAATCTGCAAAGGGATATCTCAGAGTGCACTGAGGTCTATGGTGAAAAACGGAAAATCTACGGATAAAAATAGAAAGAAACTTTTTGAGAAACTGCTTTGTGATTTGGGCGTTCAACTCACAGAGTTAAACCAGTTTTTTGAGTGAGCAGTTTGGAAACAGTGTTTTGCAGAATCTGCGATGAGCTATTTCGCTGCACATTGAAGCCTACGATGATAAAAGAAATATCTTCAGATAAAAACTAGAAAGAATCTTATTGAGAAATTGCTTTGTGATGCGTACATTCATCTCACAGAGTTAAACCTTTCTTTGGACTGAGCTGTTGACTGTTTTTGAAAAATTTGCGAAGCAATATCATGTAGCGAAAAAAAGCCTGTGGTGAACAAGAAAATATCTTCTGATGAAAACTGGAAAGAAGCACTATGAGAAACTGCTTTCTGAAGTGTGCATTCGTCTCTCAGAGTTAAACCCTTCTTTTGATGGAACCACTTGGAAACACTGTTTTTGTAGAATCTGTGAAGTTATATTTGGGAGTGCATTGAGGTCTATGGTGGAAAAGGAAATATATTCAGAGAAGAAGTAGACAGAAACTCTCTGAGAAACTGCTTTTTGATGAGTTCATACATCTCACAGAGGTAAAATTTTCTTTTCACTGAGCAGTTTGGAAAGACTGTTTTTGTAGAATCTGTGAAGGGATACTTGGGAGCACTTTGAAGCCAATGGTGGAAAATGAAAATAACATTGGAAAAAAAATAGAAAGAATACTTTTGAGAAACTGCTTTCTGATGTGCACATTCATCTCAGAGTTAAACCTTTTCTTTGATTGACCAGTTTGGAAACTGCAAAGTTGTAGAATCTGCAAAGGGATATTTGGGAACATACAAGGCCTATGATGAAAAAGGAAATAACTTTAGATAAAAACTAGAAAGAAGCTTTCTGAGGAATCACTTTGTGATGTGAGCATTCTTCTCACAGGGCAAAACGTTTCTTTTGGTTGAGCACTTTGGGAACACTGTTTATGTAGAATCTGCAAAGGGATACTTGGGAGCAAACTGATGCCTATGGTGAAAAAGGAAATATCTTTGGATGAAAACTAGAAAGAAGCTTTTTGAGAAATTGCTTTGAGATGTATGCATTCAACTCACAGAGTTAAAATTTTCTTTTCACTGAGCAGTTTGGAAACACTGTTTTTGTATAATCTGTGAAGCGATGTTTTGTTGCACAAAAGGCCTATGGTGAACAATGAAATAGCTTCAGATAAAAACTGGATAGAAGCGTTATGAGAAGCTGCTTTCCAATGTGTGCATTCATCTCACAGAATTAAATACTTCTTTTGATGTAACAGTTCAGAAACACTGTTTTTATACAATCTGCAAAGTTATACATAGGAGCACATTGAAGCCTATGGTGAAAATGGAAATATCTTCACATAAAAACAGGAAAGAAGGTTTCTCAGAAACTGCTTTCTGATGGATGCATTCATCTTACAGTATTAAAACTTTCTTTTGATTGATAGGTTTGGAAGCACATTTTTGGTAGAATCTGTGAAGGGATATTTGTGAGCACATGTGGCCTATGGTGAAAAAGGAAATAACTTCAGATTAAAAAAAGAAAGGAGATTTCTGGGAAACCACTTTGTGATGTGTGCATTCATCTCACACAGTAAAGCCTTTCTTTTCATTCAGCAGTTTGTAAACAATGTTTTTGTACAATCTACTCAGGGATATTTGGGAGTGCATTGAGGCCTATGGTTAAAAGAAGCATGTTCAGATAAAAACAATAAAGAAGCTGTCTGAGAAATTGCTTTGTGATGTGTGCATTCATCTCATAGAGTTAACCTTTCTTGGGATTCAGCAGTTTGGAAACACTGTTTTTGTCCATTCTGCAAGTCTACATTTGGGAGCTCATTGAGACCAAAGAGACAAAGCAAATATGCCAGGATAAAAACTAGTAGGAAGCTATCTGAGAAACCACTTTGTGATGTGTGCATTCACCTGACAGAGCTAAAACTTTCTTTTCATTAAGCAGTTTGGAAACACTGTTTTTTAGAATCTGCCAAGGGATATTTGGGAGTGTATTGAGGCCCATGAGAAAAAAGGAAACATCTTCAGATGAAAAGTAGAAAAAAATTTCTGAAAAACTGCTTCACGTTGTGTTCATTCAGCTCAGAGAGTTAAACCCGTCTTTGGATTCAGCAGTTTGGAAACACTGTGTTTGTCCTTTCTGTGAATGGACATTTGGGAGCTCATTGAGGCCAATGGTGAAAAAGTGACTATTCCAGAATATAAACTAGAAGGAAGCTATCTGATAAACCACTTTGTGGTGTGTGCATTCATTTCACAGAGGTTAACCTTTCTTTTCATTGAGCAGTTTGGAAAGATTATTTTTTTAGAAGTTGTGAAGGCATATTTGGGAGCTCATAGAGGCCCATGGTGAAACAGGAGACATCTTCAGAAAAAAACTTGAAAGAAAAATTCATAGAAACTACTTTGTGATGTTTGCATTCATCTCCCAGAGTTAAACCTTTCTTTGGATTCACTTTTTTGGAAACACTGTTTTTGTCCATTCACAGAATGGACATTTGGGAGCTCACTGAGGCAACTGGTGAAAAGGGAATATTCCAGGATAAAAACCAGAAGGATACTACCTGAGAAAACGATTTCTGATGTGGGTATTCATCTCACAGAGGAAAATCTTTCATTTCCTTCATCAGTTGGGAAACACTGTTTTTGTAGAATGTGTGAAGGGGTATTTGGAAGCACTTTGAGGCCGATGGTGAAAAAGGGAACATATTCAGATAAAAACTAGAAAGAAACTCTCTGAGAAACTGCTTTGTGATGAATGCATTCATCTCACAGAGTTAAACCTTCCTTGGGATTCAGCAACTTGGAAACACTGTTTTTCTAGAATCCGCAAAGGGATATTTTGGAGAGCAATGAGGGCTATGGTGGAAAAGGATACATCTTCAGATAAAAACTAGAAAGAAACATCTTCAGAAAAATACTAGAAAGAAGCTTTCTGAGAAACTGCTTTGTGACGTGTGCATTTATCTCACAGAGTTAATCCATTCTTTGTATTCAGTAGCTTGGAAAGTGTTTTTGTCCATTCTGTGAATGGACATTTCAGAGCTCATTGATGCCAATGGTGAAAAAGTGAATATCCCAGGATAAAAACTAAAAGGAAGCTATCTGAGAAACCGCTTTGTGATGTGTGCATTCATCTCACATAGTTAAACCTTTCTTTGTAATCAGCAGATTGAAAACACTGTTTTCGTCCATTCTGCATATGGACATTTAGGAGTTAATTGAGGCCAATGGCGAAAAAGCAAATATCCCAGGAAAAAACTGGACTGAATCTATCTTAGAAACTGCTATGTGAGGGATACAGTCATCTCACAGAGTTAATCCTTTTTTTGTGTTCAGCAGTGTGGAAACACTGTTTTTGTCCATTCTGTGAATGGAAATTATGGAGCTCATGGAGACCAATGGTGAAAAAGCCAATATCCCAGGATAAAAACTAGGAGAAAGCTATCTGAGAAAGTGCTATGTGATGTGTGCATTCACCTCTCAGAGGCAAACCCATCTTTTCATTCAGCAGGTAGGAAAAACTGTTTTTGTAGAATATGAAAAGGGATATTTCAGAGAGCATTGAGGCCTATGTTGAAAAAGGAAACATCTTCACATAAAAACTAGAAAGAAGCTTTCTGAGAAACTACATTGTGATGTTTGCATTCATCTCACAGACTTAAACCTTTCTTTCAATTCTGCAGTTTGGAAACAATGTTTTTGTCCATTCTGCAAATGGATATTTGGAGCTCTTTGAGGCCAATGGTGAAAAAGAAAATATCCCAGTATAAAAACTAGAAGGAGGCTATCTGGAAAACCGCTTTGTGATGTGTGAATTTATTCACAGAGTTAAACCTTTCTTTTCATTCAGCATTTTGGAGACACTGTTTTTGTAGTATCTACAAAGGGATATTTCAGAGAGCCTTCAGGCCTATGGTGAAATAGGAAACATCTTCAGATGACAACTACAAAGAAGCTTTCTGAGAAACTACTTCATGATGTGTCCATTCACCTTACGGAGTTAAACTCTTCTTTGGATTCAGGAGTTTGGAAACACTGTTTTTGTCCCTTCTGTGAATGGACATTTGAGAGTTCATTGGCCCCAATGGCAAAAAAGTGAATGTCCCAGGATTAAAAACTAGAAAGAAGCTATCTGAGTAACTGTTGTGTGATGTGTGCATTCATCTCACAGAGTTAAACATTTCTTTTCATTCAGCAGTTGGAAACACTGCTTTTACAGAATCTGTAAAGGGATATTTCGGAGAGCATTGTGGTCTACAGTGCAAAAGGAAACATCTCAGGTAAAAATGAGAAAGATGCTTTCTGAGAGACTATTTTGTGCTGTGTCCATCATCTCACAGATGTAAACCTTCTTTGGATTCAGCAGTTTGGAAACACTATTTCTGCCCATTCTGTGAAGGACATTTGGGAGCTCTTTGAGGCCAGTGTTGTAAAAGTTAATATAGCAGGATAAAAACTACACCAATGACATATGAGAAACAGCTATGTGATGTGTGCATTCATCTCACAGATTGAAACCAACTTTTCATTCAGCAGTTTCGAAAGACTGTTTTTTTAGAATCTGTAAAATGATATTTCAGAGAGCATTGAGGCCTATGGTGAGATAGGAAACATCTTCTGATAAAAAGTAGTAAGAATCTTTCAGAGAAACCGCTTTCTGATGTGCGCATTCATCTCACAGAGTTAAAACTTTTCTTTCATTCAGCAGTTTTGAGACACTGTTTTGTAGAATCTGCAAAGGGATACTTTGGAGAACATTCATGCCTCTGGTGAAAAAGGAAACATCTTCAGATAAAATCTTGAAAGAAGATTTCTAAGAAACTGTTTGTGATGTGTGCATTCATCTCACAGTGTTAAAACTTTCTTTCGATTCAGCAGTATGGAAACTCAGTTTTTGTCCATTCTGCGAGTGGATATTTAGGAGCTTATTGAGGCCAATAGTGAAAAAGTGAATATCCCAGGATAAAAACTTGAAGGAAACTATGTGAGAAACCGCTTTGTGATGTGTGCATTCATCTCACAGAGTTAAAACTTTCTTTTCATTCAGAAGTTTTGAAACACTGTTTTTGTAGAATTTGCAAAGGGATATTTCAGAGAGACTTGAGGCATGAGTTAAAAAAGAATCATCTTTAGAAAAACTAGAAAGAAGATTTCTGAGAAACTTCTTTTTGATGTGTGCATTCATCTTGCAGATGTAAACATTTCTTTTCATTCAGCAGTTTGGAAACACTGTTTTTTTCCATTCTGCAAATGGACATTTGGGAGCTCTTTGAGGCCAATGGTGAAAAAGCCAATATCCCAAGATAAAAACTAGACAAAATCTACCTGAGAAATGCTGTTATGTGTGCATTTCTCACATGGAGTTAAATATTTCTTTTCATTCAGCAGTTTGGAAAGAGTGTTTTTGTAGAATCTGCAAAGGGATATTTTGGAGAGCATTGAGACCAATATTGAAAAAGAAAACATCTTCTCATAAAAACTAGAAAGAATCTTCTTGATAAATGCTATGTTATGTGTGCTTTTATCACACAGAGATAAATCTTTCTTTTCATTCAGCAGTTTGCAAAGATTGCTTTTGTAGAATCTACAAAGGGATATTTTGGAGAGCATTAAGGCTAATGTTGAAAAAGGAGACATCTTCAGATAAAAACTAGAAAGAATCTTTCTGAGAAACTGCTCTGTCATGTGTGCGTACATCTCACAGAGTTAAACATATCCTTGGATTCAGCAGTTTGGAAACACTGTTTTTGTCCATTCTGTGATTGGATATTTGGGAGCTCGTTGAGGCCAATGGCAAAAAAACAAGTATCCCATGATAAAAACTAAAAGGAAGCTATCTGAGAAACCGATTTGTGATGTGTGCATTCATCTCAAAGCGTTAAAATTTTCTTTGGATTCAGCAATTTGGAAACACTGTTTTTGTCCATTCTGTGAATGGAAATTTGGGAGTTCATTGAAGGAATTGCAAAAAAGGAAATATCCCAGGAACAAAACAAGAAGGAAGCTATCTGAGAAACAGGTTTGTTATTTGTGCATTTATCCCACAGAGGTAAGTATTTCTCTTCATACAGCAGTTTGGAAACAGTGTTTTTCTAGAATCTGCAAAAGTATATTTCGGAGACATTGAAACCTATGGTGAAAAAGGAAATAACTTCACATAAAAACTAGAGAGATGCCTTATAAGAAACCTCTTTATGATATATGTTTTCATCTCATAGAATTAAACCTTTCTTTTCATTCAGCAGTTTGGTAAAACTGTTTTTGTAGAATCTGCAAAGGGATATTTCAGAGAACATTGATGCCTATGGTTAAATGAAACATCTTCAGATAAAAACAAGAGAGAAGCTTTCTTTGTATCTGCTTTTTTATGTGTATTCGTCTCACAGAGTTAAAACTTTATTTGGACTCAGCCATTTAGAAGCACTGATTTTTTTCCATTCTGCAAATGAACATTTGGGAGCTCCTTGAGGCCAATGGTGAAAAAGTGAATATCCCAGGGTATAAAGTAGACAAGAGCTTTCTGAGAAACTGCTATGTGACGTGTGCATTCATATTGCAGAGTTAAATTTTTCTTTTCATTCAGCAGTTTGGAAACACTGTTTCTGTAGAATCTGCAAAGAGATATTTTGGATAACCTTGAGGCTTGTGGTGTAAAAGAAAAATCTTCAGATAAAAACTAGAAAGAAGCTTTCTGAGAAACTGCTTTCTGATACGTGCATTCATGTCATGGAAAGAAACCTTCCTTTGGATTCAACAGTTTGGCAACACTGTTTTTGTACAATCTGCAAAGGTATAGTTCAGAGAGCATTGAGGTCTATGGTAGAAAAGGTAACATCTTCAGATAAAATCTAGAAAGAAGATTTCTGTGTAACTGATTTGTGATGTCTGCATTCATCTCAGACAGTTAAACCTGTCTTCGGATTCAATATTTGGAAACACTGTTTGTGTCCATGCTATGAATGGACATTTGGAAGCTCATTGAGGCCAATGGTGAAAAATGAATATTACAGGATAAAAACTGAAAGGAAGCCATCTGAGAGACTGCTTTGTGATGTGTGCATTCATCTCACAGAGTTAAACTTTCTCTTTTCATTCACTGGTTTGGAAACACTGTTCTTGTCCATTCTGTGGATGGACATTTGGAAACTCACTGAGGACAATGAGGAAAAAGTGAATATTTCAGGACAAAAAGTAGACAGAAGATATCTGAGAAACTGCTATGTGATGTGTGCATTCAACTCCCAGAGTTAATCCTTTCTTTGGATTCAGCAGATTGGAAACACTGTTTTTGTAGAATCTGCAAAGAGATATTTCTGAGAGCTTTGAGGTCTTTGGTGAAAATCTAAACATCTTCAGATGAAAACTAGAAAGTAGCTTTCTGAGAAACTACTTTGTGATGTGTGCATTAATCTCCCAGAGTTAAAGCTTTATTTTGATTCAGCAGATTGGAAACACTGTTTTTGTCCATTCTGCAAATGGACTTTTGGGAACTTATTAAGGCCAAAAAAGAGAATATCATGGTATAAAAACTAGAAGGAAGCTCTCTGAGAAACCTCTTTGTGATGTGTGCATTCATCCACAGAGAAACATTTCATTCAGCAGTTTGGAAACACTGTTTTTGCAGAATCTGCAAAGGGATATTTTGGAAAGCATTGAGGCTTATGTTGAAAAAGGAAACATCTTGAGATAAAAACTAGAAAGAAGCTTCCTGAGAAACTGGTTTGTGTTGTGTGCATTCATCTCACAGAGGTAAACCTCTCTTTGGATTCAGCAGTTTGGAAACACTGTATTTGTTCATACTGTGAATGTACTTTTGGGAGTTCCTTGTGGCTAATGGTGAAAAAGTGAATATAACAGGATAAAATCTAGAAGGAATCTTTCTGAGAAATGGCTTTGTGTTGTGTACATTCATCTCGCAGAATTAAAGCTTCCTTTTCATACAGCAGTTTGGAAACAGTGTTTTTGTAGAACCAGCAAAGGGATATTTCAGAGAGCACTGAGGTTTATCATGAAAAAGGAAATATCTTCTGATAAAAACTAGAAAGACACTTTCTGAGAAACTGCTTTCGGCTTTGTGCATTCATCTCACAGAGTCAAAACTTTCTTTGGATTCAGCAGTTTGGAAACACTGCTTTTGTCCAATCTTGGAATGGATATTTTGACTTTACTGTGGCCCATGGGGAAGAGAAAATATCCCAGGATAAAAAGTACGTGGAAGCTACCTGAGAAACTGTTATGTGATGCGTGCATTCTTCTTGCACAGTTAAATATTTCTATTCATTCAGCAGTTTGGAAACACTGTTTTTGTAGCATCTGCAAAGGGATATTTTGGATAGCATTGAGGCCTATGGTAAAAAGGAGATACCTTCAGGTAAAAACTAGCAAGAAGCTTTCTGAGAAACTGCTTTGTGATGTGTGCATTCATCTCACAGAGTTAAACATTTCTTTGGATTCAGCAGTATGGAAAGGCTGTTTTTGTCCATTCTGTGAATGGACATTTGAGGGCTCTTTAAGGCTAGTGTCAAAGAAGGAATTATCCCAGGGTAGAAACTAGAAGGAAGCTATCTGAGGAACTCCTTTGTGATGTGTGCATTCATCTCACAGAGTTAAAAGTTTATTTTCATTTAGCAGTTTGGAAACAATGGTTTTGTAGAATCTGCTATGGGATATTTGGGAGTGCATAGAGGCCTCTGTTGAAAAAGGAAACATCTTCAGTTAAAATTTAGAAAGAACCTCTCTGAAAAACTGCTTTGTGATGTGTGCCTTCATCTAACAGAATTAAACCATTTCTTTTGTTCAGCAGTTTGGAAAAATTCTTTTTGTCCATTCTGTGAATAGATATTTGGGAGCTCAATGAAGGCAATGGTGAAAAAGTGAATATCCCAGCACAAATACTAAAAGGAAACTATCCGAGAACCTGCTTTGTGATATGTGCATTCATCTCACAAGGTTAAAACTTTCTTTTCATATGGCAGGTTGGAAAAACTGTTTTTGTAGAATCTGCAAAGGAGTATTTAGCAGCAAATTGAGGCCTAGGGTGAAAAAGGAAATATCTTCAGATAAAAACTGAAAAAAATGTTTCTGAGAAACTGCTTTGTGATGTGTGCATTCAACTCTCACAGTTATACTTTTCTTTTGATTCAGCAGTTTGGAAATACTGTTTTTGTCCATTATGCAAATGGATATTTGGGAGCTCATTGAGGCCAATGGGAAAAAAGTGAATATCCCAGGATAAAAGCTAGAAGGAATCTATCTGAGAAACCGCTTTGGGATGTGTGCATTCATCCTGCAGAGTTAACCATTTCTTTTTATTCAGCATTTTGGAGACACTGTTTTTGTAGAATCTGCAAAGGTATATTTGGGAGTATATGGATGCGTACCATCAAAAAGGAAACATCTTTGGATAAAAACTAGAAAGAAGCTTTCTGATAAACTGCTTTGTGATGTTTGCATTCATCTCACATAATTAAACCTTTCTTTGGATTCAGCAGTGTGGAAACACTGTTTATGTCCATTCTGCGAAACTACATCTTGGAGCTCATTGAGGCCAGTGGTGAAAAAGCAAATATCCCAGCATAAAAACCGCAAGGATGCTATCTGATAAACCGATTTGTGATCTGTTCATTGATCTCACAGACTTAAAACTTTCTTTTCACTCAGCCATTTGGAATACCCATTTTTGTAGAATCTGCAAAGCAATATTTGGGAATGCATTGAGGCCTATGGTGAAAAAGGAAACATCTTCAGATAAAAACAAGAAAGAAGCTCTGTGAGAAAGTGCTTTGTTATGTTTCTATACATCTCACAGAGTTAAACCTTTCCTTGGATTCAGCTGTTTGAAAATAATGTGCTTTTCCATTCTGTGAATGGACTTTTTGGAGTTCATTGAGGCCAATGGAAAAAAATCGAATATTACAAGTTAAAAACTAGAAGGACAGTATCTATGAAGCGGCTTTGTGATGTGTGCATTTATCTCACAGAGGAAAACCTGTCTTTTCATTCAACACTTTGGAAAGAATGTTTCTTGTCAAATCCATGAGGGGATATTTGGGAGTGCAATGAGGCCTATTGTGTAAAATAAAATATCTTCAGATAAAAACTAGAAAGAACCTTTCTGAGAAACTGACCTGTGATGTGTGCATTCATCTCACAGACTTAAAGCTCTCTTTGGAATCAGCAGTTTGTAAACACTGTTTTTGTCCATGCTGCAAATGGAAATTTGGGAGGTCTTTGAGGCCAATGGCAAATAACTGAATATCCCAGGATCAAAACTACAAGGAAGCTATCTGAGGAACTGCTTTGTGTTGTCTGCATTCCTCTCACAGGATTAAATATTCTTTTCATTCAGCAGTTTGGAAACACTGATTTTGTAAAATCTGTGAAGGGAAGTTTGGGAGTGCATTGAGGCCTATGGTGAAAAAGGAAACGTCTGACAAAAATTAGCAGGAAGCTTTCTGAGAAACTGCTTTGTGATGTGTGCATTCATCTCACAGTTTTAAACCTTTCTTTTCTTTCAGCAGTTTGGAAGCATTGTTTTTGTAGAATCTGCAAAGGGATATTTCTGAGTGCATTGAGGCCCATGATGAAAAAGGAAACCACTTCAGGTAAAAACTACAAAGAAGGTTTCTGAGAAACTTCTTTCTGATGTGTGCATTCATCTCACTGAGTTAAACCATTCTTTGGATTCAGTATTTTGGAAACACTGTTTTTGTCCATTCGGTGAATGAACATTTGGGAGCTCTTTGAGGCCAAAGGCGAAAAAGATAATATCCCAGGCTAAAAACTACAAAGAAGCAATCTGAAAAACTGCTTTGTGATGTGTGCATTCATCTCACAGAGTTAAAATTTCCTTTGCATTCAGTAGTTTGGAAACACTGTTTTTATAGAATCTGCAAAGGGATAGTTCAGAGAAACTTGAGGCTTATGGTGAAATAGGAAACATCCACAGATAAAAACTAGGAAAATACTTTCTCAGAAACTGCTTTTTTATGTATGCATTCATCTCACAGATTTAAACCTTTCTTTGGATTCAGCAGTTTGGAAACAAGATTTTTTTCCATTTTGCCAATGGATATTTGGGAGATATTTGAGGCCAAAGGGGAAAAAGTGAATATCCTAGGATAAAAACTAGATTCTATAAGCTATCTGAGAAACTGCTTTGGGATATGTGTATTCATCTGAAGAGTTAACCCATTCTTTTCATTCAGCAGTTTGGAAAGACTGTTTTTGTAGAATCTGTGAAGCGATATTAGGGAGTACATAGATGCACATGGTGAAAAAGGAAACATCTTCAGATTAAAACTAGTAAGAAGCTTTCTGATAAGCTGCTTTGTGATGTGTGCATTCATCTCACATAATTAAACTTTTCTTTGTATTCAGCAGTTTGGAAACACTGTTTATGTCCATTCTGTGATAGGACATCTTGGAGCTCATTGAGGCCAGTGGTGAAAAAGCAAATATCCAAGGATAAAAACTACAAGGAAGCTATCTGAGAAACCGATTTGTGATGTGTGCATTGATCTCAAAGAGTTAAAGCTTTCTTTTCACTCACCAGTTTGGAATAACGGTTTTTGTAGAATCTGTGAAGCAATATTTGGGAATGCATTGAGGTCTATGGTGAAAAAGGAAACATCTTCAGATAAAAACAAGAAAGAAGCACTGTGAGAAAGTGCTTCATTATGTATCTATACATCTCACAGTGTTAAACCTTTCTTTGGATTCAGCAGTTTGGAAAGAGTGTTTTTGTCCATTCTGTGAATGGACATTTGGGAGCTCATTGAGACAAATCACGAAAAAGAAAATATCCCAGGACAAAAACCAGAAGGAAGCTATCTGAGAAACTGCTTTGTTTTGTGTGCATTCATCTCACTGAGTTAAATCTTTCTTTTCATTCAGCAGTTTGGAAAAACTGTTTCTATAGAATCTGAAAAGGGATATTTGGGTGCACATTGAGACCTATAGAGAAAAAAGAAACATATTCAGATAAAAACTAGAAAGAAGCTTTCTGAAAAACTGCATTGTGATGTGTGCATTCATCTCACAGAGTTAAACACTTCTTTCAATTCAGCAGTATGGAAAGACTGTTTTTGTCCATTCTGTGAATGGACGTTTGAGAGCTCTTTGAGGCCAACTTCAGAAAAAGGAATATCCCAGGGTACAAACTAGAAGGAAGCTATCTGAGGAAACGTTTTTGATGTGTGCATTCATCTCACAGAGTTAAAACTTTCTTTTCATTTAGCAGTTTGGAAACAATGGTTTTGTAGAATCTGCTATGTTACATTTGGGAGTGCATAGAGGCCAATGTTGAAAAAAGGAAACAATTTCAGATTAAAATTAGAAATAACCTTTCTGAGAAACTGCTTTGTGTTGTGTCCATTCATCTAACATAATTAAATCTTTCTTTTGTTCATCACTTTGGAGAAATTATTTTTGTCCATTCTACAAATAAACATTTGGGAGCTCAATGAAGCTCATTGTCAAAAGCTAATATCTCAGCATAAATACTATAAGGATGCTATTTGAGAATCCACTTTGGGATGGGTGCATTTAACTCACAGTGTTAAACCTTTCTTTTCATTCAGCTGTTTGGAAAGACTGTTTTTGTACAATCTGCAAAAGGATACTTGAGAGAGCATTGAGGCCTACAGTGAAATAGGCAACACCTTCAGATAAAAACTAGAAAGAAGCTTTCTGTGAAATTACTTTGTGATGTGGACGTTCAAATCACAGAGCTAAACCCTTCTTTGGACTCAGGAGTTTGGAAAAACTGTTTTAATCCATTCTGCAAATTGACATTTTGGAGATCACTGAAGACAATGGCAAAAAAGCAAGTATCCCAGGATAAAAACGCGAAGGAAAGTATCTGAGAAACTGCTTTGTGATATGGGCACTCATCTCACAGAGTTAAACCTTTCTCTTCATTCAGCAGTTTGGAAACACTGTTTTTGTCCATTCTGTGAATGACCATTTGGGATCTCATTGAGATCTACGGGGAAAAAACATATATCCCAGGATAAAAAGTCGATGGAAGCTATCTGAGAAACTGTTATGTGATGTGTGCATTCATCCCATAAAGTTAAACCATTCTTTAGATTCAGCTGTTTGGAAACATTGTTTTTGTCCATTCGCGGAATGGACAATTGGGAGAACATTGGGGCCAAAGGCAAAAAATGGAATATCCCAGGATTAAAACTAGAAGGCAGGTATCTGATAAGCCACTTTGCAATGTGATCATTCGTTTCACCGAGTTAAACCTTTCTTTTTGGAGCTCACTGAGGCCTATGGGGAGAAAGCAGATATCCCAGGATAAAAAGTAGATGGAAGCTATTTGAGAAACCACTTTGTGATGTGTGCATTCATCTCACAGAGTTAAACCTTACTTTTCATTCCGCAGTTTGGAAACACTGTTTTTGTAGAATCTCCAAAGGGATATTTCACAGAGCATTGAGGACTATGGTGAAAAAAGAAATATCTTCAGATAAAAATTAAAAAGAAGCTTTCTGAGAAACTGCTTTGTAATTTGTGCATTCATGTCGAGGAATTAATCTTTTCTTTCCATGCAGTAGTTTGGAAAGAGAGTTTTTGTTCATTCTGTGAATTGACAGATGGGAACTCATTGAGGCCCATGGCAAAAAAGCGAATATCCCAAGAGAAAAACTAGATGGAAGCTATCTGAGAAACTGCTATGTGATATGTGCATTCATCTTGCAGAATTAAAACTTTCTTTTCAATCAGCAGTTTAGAAATACAGTTTTAGTAGAATCTGCAAAGGGATATTTGGGAGATCATTGAGGCCTATGGTGAAAAAGGAAATATCTTCAGATAAAAACTAGAAAGTTTTCTGAGAAACTGCCCTGTGAAGTGTGCATTCATTAACCTTTCTTTGAATGCAGCAGTTTGGGAACAGTGTTTTTGTAGAATCTACAAATGGATGTTTCAGAGAGAATTGAGGTCTACGGAGAAAAAGGAACCATGTTCAGATAAAAAGTAGAAAGAAGCTTTCTGAGAAACTACTTTGTGATGTGTGCATTCATCTCACAGAGTTAAACTTCCCTTTGGATGCACCAGCTTGGAAAGAGTGTTTTTGTAGTATCTTCAAAGGGATGTTTTGGGAAGAATTCAGGCCTATGGTGAAAACGGAAACATCTTCAGATAAAAACTACAAAGAAGCTTTCTGGGAATCTGCTTTGTGATGTGTGCTTTCATGTCACAGACTTAAATATTTTTCGGATTCTGTACTTTCAAAACACTGTTTTTTCCAATCTACGAATGGACATTTGCTGCTTCACTGAGGCCAATGTTGAAAAATCAAACATAGCAGGATAAAAACTAGGAGGAAGCTATCTGAGAAACTGCTGTGTGTTGTGTGCGTTCATCGAACAGAGTTAAACCTTTCTTTTCATTCAGCACTCTGGAAACACTGTTTTTGTAGTATCTGCAAAGGGATATTTGAAAGAGCATTTAGGCCTAAGGTGAAAAAGGAAAAATATTTAGATAAAAATTAGAAAGAAGCTTTCTGAGAGACTGCTTTGTGCTATGTGCATTCATCTCACAGAGTTAAACCTTTCTTTTGAGTCAGTCATTTGAAACACTATTTTTGTCCCTTCTGGGAATGGACAATTGGGAGTTCATTGAGGCCAATGGCAAAAAAGTGAAATATCCCAGGATAAACCCAAGTGGAAACTATGTGAGAAACTACTATGTGATGTACATATTCATCTCACAGAGTTAAACCTTTCTTTTCATTCAGCAGTTTGGAAACAGTGTTTTTGTAGAAGCTGCCAGGGGACATTTCGGAGAGCATTGAGGACTATGGTCAAAAAGGAAATATCTTCAAATAAAAACTAGAAAGAATCTTGCTGAGAAACTGTTTTGTGGTGTGGGCATTCATCTCACAGAGTTAAACCTTTTTTGGATTCAGCAGTTTGGATACACTATTTTTTAGAATCTCCAAAGGGATATTTCCCAGAGCATTGAGGCCTGTGGTGAAAGAGGAAACACCTTCATATAAAAACTAGAAAGCAGCTTTCTGAGAAACTGCTTTGTGATGTGTGCATTCATCTCACAGACTTAAACGATTCTTTGAATTCAATAGTTTGCAAACACTGTTTTTTTCCATTGTGCAAATGAACATTTGGGAGCTCACTGAGGCTAATTGTGAAAATGTGAATATCGTAAGATAAAAACTAGAAGGAAGCTATCTGAGAATCGCTTTGTGATGTGTGCATTCATGTCACAGAGGTAAACCTGTCTTTGGATTCAGTAGTTTGGGAAACACTGTTTTTCTAGAATCACCAAAGGGATATTTAGCAAAGCATTGGCACCTACTGTTAAAAATGAAACATCTTAGGTAAAACTAGAAAGAAGTTTTCTTAGAAACTGCTTTCTGAAGTGTGCATTCATCTCACAAAATTAAACCTGTCTTTGGAACAGCAGTTTGGAAACACTGTTTTTCTAGAATTGGAAAACAGGTATTTTGAAGAGCATTGAGGCCTATGGTGAAAAAGGAAACATCTTCAGATAAAAACTATAAAGAAGCATTCTAAGAAATTGCTTTGTAATGTGTGCATTCATCTCAGAGAATTAAAGCTGTCTTTGGATTCAGTAGTTTGGAAACACTGTTTTTGTAGAATCTGAAAACAGATATTTCAGAGAAAATTGAGGCCTCTGGTGAAAAAGGAAACATCTTCAGATAAAAATAGAAAGAAGCTTTCTGAGAAACTGCTTTGTGATGTGTGCATTCATCTCACAGAGTTAAACATTTCTTTGGATTCAGCAGTTTGGAAATGATGTTTTTGCAGAATCTCAAAAGGGATATTTCAGAGAGCATTGAGGCCTACAGTGAAAAAGGAAAAATCTTCAGATAAAGACTAGATGGAAGCTATCTGAGAAATTGTTTTGTGATGTGTTGATTCATCTCAAAAACATAAACCTTTCTTTGGATTCAGTAGTTTGGAAATACTGTTTTTGTCCATTCTGTGAATGGACATTGGGAACTCATAGAGGCCAATGGTGAAAAATAGATTATACCAGGGTAAAACTAGAAGGAATCTGTCTGAGAAAATGCATTGTGGTGTGTGCATTCATCTCACAGAGTTAAACCTTTCTTTTCATTCATTAGTTTGGAAACACTGTTTATGTAGAATCTGCAAAGGGATATTTCAGAGAGCATTGAGTCCAAGGGTGATAAAGGAAACATCGTCATATAAAAACTAGAAAGAAGCTTTCTGAGTAACTGCTTTGTGATGTGTGCATTCATCTCACAGTGTTAAACCTTTCTTTGGATTCAGTAGTTTGGAAAAACTTTTTTTGACATTCTGTGAATGGACATTTGGGAGCTCATTGAGGTCAATGCCAATAAAGGGAATATCCTTATATTAAAACTAGGAGGAAGCTATCTGAGAAACTGCTTTGTGATATGAGAATTCATTTCACAGAGTTAAACCTTTCTTTTCATCCAGCACTTTGGAAACACTGTTTTGGTAGAATCTGTAAAGTATTATTTCCGAGAGTATTGAAGCCTGTGGTGAAATAGGAAACATCTTCAGATAAAAACTAGAAATAAATGTTCTGAGAAACTGCTTTGTGATGTGTGCATTCTTTGGATTGAGTAGCTTGTAAAGATTGTTTTGTCCATTCTGCAAATGGATATTTGTGAGCTCCTTGAGGACAATGACGAAAAAGCAAATATCCCAGGATTAAAACCAGAAGGCAGCTACCTGAGAAACTGCTTTGGTATGTGTGCATTCATCTCACAGATTTAAACCTTTCTTTTCATACAGCAGTTTCAAAACACTGTTTTTGTAGTATCCACAAATGGATATTTAGGAGAGTATTCAGGCCTATGGTGAAATAGGGAACATTTTCATATAAAAACTAGAAAGAAGATTTTTTAGTAACTGCCTTATGATGTGTGCATTCATCTGACAGAATTAAACCTTTCTTTGGATTCAGCAGTTTTGAAACACTTTTTTTGTCCTCTCAGTGAATGGATATTTGGGATTTCTTTGTGGCCAATGGTGAAAAAGGTAATATCCCAGGATGAAAACTAGAAGAAAGCTACATGAGAAACTGCTATGCGATGTGTGCATTCATCTCACGGAATTAAGCATGCTTTTCATTCAGTAGTTTGGAACACTGTTTTTGTTTAATATGCAATGGGATATTACAGAGATCATTGAGGCCTATGGTGAAAAAGGAAACTTCCTCAGATAAAAACTACAAAGATCTCTGAGAAACAGCTTTGTCATGTCTGCAATCATCTCACAGAGTTAAGCCTTTCTTTGGATTCAGTAATTTGAAAAGAGTGTTTTGAATGGACATTTGGTACTCCATTGAGGCTATTGGTGAAAAAGAGAATATTCCTGTATAAAAACTCGAAGGAAGCTATCTATGAAACTGCTTTGTGATGTGTGCATTCATCTTGCAGAGTTAAAGCTTTCTTTTCATACAGCAGTTTGGAAACTGTTTTTGTAGACTCATCAAAAGGATATTTTACAGCATATTGAGGACTATGTTGAAAGAGGAAATATCTTCAGATATAAACTTGAAAGAATCTTTCTGAATAACTGCCTTGTGTTGTGTGAATTCATCTCACAGAGTTAAACTGTACACTGGATTCAGCAGTTTGGAAAAATGTTTTTGTCCAGTCTGCGAATGGGCATTTTGGAGCTCATTGAGGTGAATGGTGAAAAAGAGAATATCCCTGGATAAAAACTAGAAAGAAGTTATCTCAGAAACCTCTTTGTGATGTGAGCACTGATCTCGCAGAGATAAACCTTTCTTTTCATTCAGTAGTTTGGAAACACTGTTTTTGTAGAATTCACAAAGGGTTATTTCAGAGAGCATTGAGGCTTTTGGTGAAATGGCCTCTTCAGATAAAAACTAGAAAGAAGCTTTCTAAGAAACTGCCTTATGGTGTGTGCAGTCATCTCACAGATTTAAACCTTTCTTTGGATTCAATAATTTGGAAAGGGTGTTTTGAATGGACATTTGGTACTTAATTGAAGCCATTGGTGAAAAACTGAATATCCTTGAATAAAACCTAGGAGGAAGCTATCCGAGAAACTGCTTTGTGATGTGTGCATTCATCTCGCAGAGTTAAAGCTTTCTTTTCATACAGCAGTTTGGAAACAGTGCTTTGTAGAATCTTCAAAGGGATATTTTGGAGTGAATTAAGAACTATGGTGAAAAAGGAAATATCTTCAGATATAAACTGGAAAGAATATTTCTGAGAAACTGCCTTGTGATGCGTGAATTCATCTCACAGAGTTAAACTGTACACTGGATTCAACAGTTTTGAAACACTGTTTTTGTCTACTCAGCGAATGGACATTTGGGAGTTCATTGAGACTGATGTCGAAAAAGGGAATATCCCAGGATAAAAACTAGAAGGAAGCTATCTGACAAACTGCTCTGTGATGTGTGCATTCATCTCACAGAGTTAAACCATGCTTTTTATTCAGCAGCATTCATCTCACAGACTTAAAACTTTCTTCAGATTCAGTACTTTGGAAACACAGTTTATGTCCATTCTGTGAATGGACATTTCAGAGCTCATTGAGGCCAATGGCAAAAAAGTGAATAACCCAGAATAAAAACTTGAAGCAATCTATCTGAGAAACCAGTTTATCATTTGTGCACTCACCTCACATAGTTAAACCATTCTTTTCATTCAGCAATTTGTAAACACTGTTTTTGCCCACTTAGAGAATGGACAATTGATAGCTCCATGAAGCCAATGGCATAAAAGGGAATATCCCAGGATAAAAACTAGAATGAATCTATCTGAGAAACTGCTTTGTGATGTCTGCATTCATCTCAAAGAGTTAAACCATGCTTTCCACTGAGCAGTTTGGAAACACCGTTTCTGTAGGGACTGCAAAGGGATATTATGGAGAGCATTGAGGCCTATGGTGAAAAAGGAAATAACTTCTGATAAAAACTAGAAACAAGCTTTCTGAGAAACTGCTTTGTGATATGTGCATTCATCTCACAGAGTCAAACAGTTCTTTGGATTCAGGAGTTTGGAAACACTGTTTTTGTCCCTGCAGTGAATGGACATTTGAGAACTCATTGGAGGCAATGGCAAAAAAGGAAATGTCCCAGGATTAAAACTAGAAGGAAGCTATCTGAAAAACTGCTATGTGATGTCTGCATTCATCTCACAGAGTTAAATATTGATTTTTATTCTGCAGTTTGGAAACATCGCTTTTGTAGAATGCAAAGGGGTATTTCAGAGAGCATTGTGGCCTTTGTGGAAAAAAGACTCACCTTCAGATAAAAACTAGAAAAGAAGCTTTCTGAGAACTGCTTTGTGATGTGTGCATTCATCTCACAGAGTTAAACCTTTCCTTGGATTAAGTAGTTTGGAAACATTGTCTTTGTCCATTCTGCAAATGGACATTTGGGAGCTCAGTTAGGCCAAAGGAGAAAAAAGGAATATCCCAGGATAAAAACTAGACAGAAACTATCTCTGAAACAGCTATGTGATGTGAGCATTCGTCTCACAGAGTTACACCATTCTTTTCATTCAGCAGATTGGAAACTGCCTTTTTGTAGAATCTGCAAAGGGATATTTGTGAGCTCCTTGAGGCATATGGTGAAAAAGGAAATATCTTCGCATAAAAATTAGACAGAAGCTTTCTGAGAAACTTCTGTGTGATGTGTGCATTTATCTCACAGAGTTGAACTATTCTTTTGATTGAGCAGTTTTGAAACACTGTTTTTGTCCACTGTGCAAATGGACATTTGGGAGCTCATTGACGCCAATGGTGGGAAAGCGAATATCCCTGGATAAAATCTAGAAGGAAGCCATCTGAGAAATCGCATTGTGATGTCTGCATTCACTTCACAGAGTTAAACCATTCTTTTCATTCAGCTGTTGGGAAACACTGTTTTTTGAGAAGCTGCAAAGGGATATTTTGGAGAGCATTGAGGCATATGGTGAAAAAGAAATAATATTCAGATAATAACTAGAAAGAATATTCTGAGAGAGTGATTTGAGATGTGTGCATTCATCTCAAAGAATTAAACCTTTCTTTGGTTTCAGCAATTTGGCAACACTATTTTTGTCCATTCTGCGAATGGCCATTTGGGAGATCCTTGAGGCCAACAGGGAAAGAGTGAATATCACAGGATAAAAACAAGAAGGAAGCTAGCTGAGAAACACTTTGTGATGTGTGCATTCATCTCACACAGTTAAAACTTTCTTTTCATTCAGCAGTTTAGATACACTTTTTTTTTGTAGAGTCTGCAAAGGTATATTTCAGAGAGCTTTGAGGCCTATGGTGAAAAAGGAAACATCTTCAGATAAAACCAAAAGGAAGCTTTCTGAGAAACTGCTTTTTGATGTGTGCATTCATCTCACAGAGTTAAAACTTTCTGTCAATTCAGTAGTTTGGAAACACTGTTTCTGTCCATTCTGCAAATGAATATTTGGGAGCTCATTGAGGTCAATGGTGAAAAAGCGAATATTCCAGGATAAAAATTAGATGGAAATTATCTGAGAATCTGCTAAGGGATGCATGCATTCATCTAGTAGAATTAACTCTTTCTTTCCATTCAGTTGTTTAGAAACACTGTTTTTGTAGAATCTGCAAAGGGGTATTTCAGAGAGCATGAAGCCTATGGTGAAAATGGAAACATCTTCAGATAAAAAATATAAAGATGGTTTCTAAGAAACTGCTTTGTGAGGTGCACATTATCTCAAAGTGTTAAACCTTCCTTTGGATTCATCAGTTTGGAAACAGTATTTTTTGTCCATTCTGCGAATGGACATTGGGGATCTCATTGATGCCAAAAAAGAAAAAGCAAATATCCCAGGATAAAAAGTAGATGGAAGGTATCTGAGAAACTGCTATGTGATGTGTGCATACATCTTACAGAGTTAAAACTTTGCTTTCATTCAGCAGTTTGGGAACACTATTTTTGTAGAATCTGCAAAGGAATATTTCAGAGAGCATTGAATCCTATGGTGAAGTAGGAAACATCTTCAGATAAAAAGCAAAAAGAAGCTTTATGAGAAACTTCTTTGTGATGTATACATTCGTCTCACAGAGTTAAATCTCTGTCAATTCAGCAGTTTGGAAACGCTGTTTTTGTCCATTCTGTGAATGAACATTTGGGTGCCCATTTAGGCCAATGGGGAAAAAGCCAATATCCCAGGATAAAAATTAGACGGAAACTATCTGAGACACTGCTACGTGATGTGTGCATTCATCTTGCAGAGTTAAACCTTCCTTTTCATTCGGCAGTTTGGAAACACTGTTTTTGTAGAATCTGCAAAGTGATATTTCAGAGAGTATTGTGGCCTATGGTGAAATAGGAAACATCTTCAGATAAAAACTAGAAAGAAGCTTTCTGAGAAACTGCTTTGTGGTGTGCACATTTATCTCACAGTGTTAAAACTTCCTTTGGATTTAGCAGTTTGGAAACACTGTTTTTTTTCCATTCTGCAAATGGACATTTGTGAGCTCATAGAGGTCAATAGGGAAAAAGTAAATAACCCACAATAAAAACTAGCTGGAAGCTATCTGAGAAACTTCTATGTGATGTTAGCATTCATCTTTCAGAATTAAACCTTGCTTTTCATTCTACAGTTTGGAACACTCTTTTTTAGAATTCTCAAAGGGATATTTCAGAGAGCATTGAGGCCTATGGTGAAAAAGGAAATATCTTCATATAATAACTATAAAGAAACTTCCTGAAAAACTGCTTTGTGATGTCTGCACTCATCTCAGGGAGTTAAACTTTTTTTGGATTCAGAAGTTTGGAACACTGTTTTTGTCCATTATGCAAATGGACATTTCAGAGCTCATTGAGACCAATGGGTAAAAAGTGAATATCCCAGGATAAAAACTGGAAGGAAGTTATCTGAGAAACTGCTTTGTGATGTGTGCATTCATCTCGCAGAGTTAATCCTTTCTTTTCTTTATATATATATATATTATCTATATAATATATTATATATTATATATTATCTATATAATATATATATATTATCTATATAATATATATACTATATATAATCTATATATTTTATATATATATTATATATATATTTTACACTTAAAGTTCTAGGGTAAATGTGCACAATGTGCAAGTTTATGTATAAATATGCCATGTTGGTGTGCTGCACCCGTTAACTCGTCATTTACATTAGGTATGTCACCTAATGCTATCCCTCCCGCCTCCCTGCACTCCACAAAAGGCCCCGGTGTGTGATGTTCCACTTCCTGTGTCCAAGTGTTCTCATTATTCAATTCCTACCTATGAGTGAGAATATGCAGTGTTTAGTTTTATGTACTTGTGATAGTCTGCTGGGAATGATGGTTTCCAGTTTCATCCATGTCCCTACAAAGGACATGAACTCATCATTTTTTATGGCTGCATAGTATTCCATGGTGTATATGTGCCACATTTTCTTCATCCAGTCTATCATTGTTGGACATTTGGGTTGGTTCCAAGTCTTTGCTATTGTGAATAGTGCCACAGTAAACATATGTGTGCATGTGTCTTTATTGCAGAATGATTTATAAACCTTTGGGTATATACCCAGTAATGGGATTGCTGGGTCAAATGGTATTTCTAGTTCTAGATCCCTGAGGAATAGCCACACTGACTTCCACAATGGTCGAACTAGTTTACAGTCCCACAAACAGTGTAAAAAGTGTTCCTTTTTCTCCACATCCTCTCCAGCACCTGTTGTTTCCTGACTTTTTAATGATCACCATTCTAACTAGTGTGAGAAGGTATCTCATTGTGGCTTTGATTTGCATTTCTCCGATGGTCACTGATGATGAGCAGTTTTTCATGTGTCTGTTGGCTGCATAAATTCTTCTTTTGAGAAGTGTCTTTAATGTCTTCCTCCCACTTGTTGTTGGGTTTCTTTGGTTTATTTTTCTTGTAAATTTGTTTGAGTTCCTTGTAGATTCTCGATATTAGCCCTTTGTCAGATGAGTAGATTGCAAAAATTTTCTCCCATTCTGTAGGTTGCCTGTTCACTTTGATGGTAGTTTCTTTGGCTGTGCAGAAGTTCTTTAGTTCAATTAGATCCCATTTGTCAATTTCAGTTTTTGTTGCTGTTTCTTTTGGTGTTTTAGACATGAAGTCCTTGCCCATGCCTACGTCCTGAATGATATTGCCTACGTTTTCTTCTAGGGTTTTCATGGTTTTAAGTCTAAGATATAAGTCTTCAATCCATCTTGAACTAATTTTTGTATAAGGTGTAAGGAAGGGATCCAGTTTCAGCTTTCTACATATGGCTAGCCAGTTTTCCCAGCACCATTTGTTCAATAGGGAATCCTTTCCCCATTTCTTGTTTTTGTCAGGTTTGTCATAAATCATATAGTTGTTGATGTGTGGTATTATTTTTGAGACTTCTGTTCTGTTCCATTGGTCCATATCTCTGTTTTGGTATCAGTACCATGCTCTTTTGATTACTATAGACTTGTAGTATAGTTTGAAGTTAGGTAGTGTGATGCCTCCAGCTCTGTTCTTTTGGTTTAGGGTTGACTTGGCAATGTGGGCCCTTTTTTGTTCCATATGAACTTTAGAGTAGTTCTTTCCAATTCTGTGAAGAAAGTCATTAGTAGCTTGATGGGGATGGCATTGAATCTATAAATTACCTTGGGCAGTATGACCATTTCACCATTTTCAGTATGATTCTTCCTATCCAAGGGCATGGAATGTTCTTCCACTTGTTTGCATCCTCTTTTATTTCATTGAGCAGTGGTTTGTAGTTCTCCTTGAAGAGGTCCTTCATGTCCCTTGTAATTGGATTCCTAGATATTTTATTCTGTTTGAAGCAATTGTGAATGGGAGTTCACTCATGATTGCGCTCTCTGTTTGTCTGTTATTGGTGTATAAGAATTCTTGTGATTCTCGCACACTGATTGTGATTCTGAGACTTTGCTGAAGTTGCTTATCAGCTTAAGGAGATTTTGAGCAGAGACGATGGGGTTTTCTAGATATACAATCATGTCTTCTGCAAACAGGGGCAATTTGACTTCCTCTTTTCCTAATTAAATACCCTTTATTTCTTTCTACTGCCTAATTGCCCTGGCCAGAGAGTCCAACAGTATGTTGAATAGGAGTGGTGAGAGCAGGCATCCCTGTCTTGTGCCAGTTTTCAAAGGGAATGCTTCCAGTGTTTGCCCATTCAGCATGATATTTACTGTGGGTTTGTCATAGATAGCTCTTACTATTTTTAGAAACGTCCCATCAATACCTAATTTATTGAGAGTTTTTAGCATGAAGCGTAGTTGAATTTTTTCAAAGGCCTTTTCTGCATCTATTGAGGTAAGCATGTGGTTTTTGTCTTTGGTTCTGTTTATATGCTGGATTGCATTTATTGATTTGCATGTGTTGAACCAACCTTGCATCCTAGGAATGAAGCCAACTTGATCATGGTGGATAAGCTTTTTGATGTGCCACTGGATTCATTCTGTCAGTATTTTATTGAGGATTTTTGCATCGATGTTCATCATTAGGGATATTGGTCTAAAATTATCTTTTTTTGTTGTGTCTCTGCCATCCTTTGGTATCAGGATGATGCTGGTCTCATAAAATGAGTTAGGGAGGATTCCTACTTTTTCTATTGATTGGAATAGTTTCAGAAGGAATGGTACCAGATTCTCCTTGTACCTCTGGTAGAATTCAGCTGTGAATCCATGTAGTCTTGGACTTTTTAGGCTGGTAAGCTATTAATTATTGCCTCAGTTTCAGAGCCTGTTATTGGTCTATTCAGAGATTCAACTTCTTCCTGGTTTAGTCTTGGGAGGGTGTGTGTGTCGAGGAACTTATCCATTTCTTCTAGATTTTCTAGTTTATTTGTGTAGAGGTGTTTATAGTACTCTCTGATCATAGTTTATATTTCTGTGGGATCAGTGGTGATATCCCCTTTGTCATTTTTTATTGCATCTATTTGATTCTTCCTCTTTTCTTCTTTATTAGTCTTGCCAGCTGTCTATCAATTTTGCTGATCTTTTCAAAAAACCAGCTCCTGGATTCATTGATTTTTTCAAGGGTTTCTTTTGTCTCTAGCTCCTTCAGTTCTGTGCTGATTTTAGTTATTTCTTGCCTTCTGCTAGCTTTTGAGTGTTTTTGCTCTTGCTTCTGTAGTTCTTTTAATTGTGATGTCAGGGTGTCAATTTTAGATCTTTCTTGCTTTCTCTAGTGGACATTTAGTCCTATAAATTTCCCTCTACACACAGCTGTAAATGTGTCCCAGAGATTCTAGTGTGCTGTGTCGTTGGTTTCAAAGAATGTCTATTTCTGCCTTCATTTCGTTATGTACTTAGTAGTCATTTAGGAGCAGGTTGTTCAGTTTCCGTGTAGTTGAGCAGTTTTGAGTGAGTTTCTTAATCCTGAGTTCTAGTTTGATTGCACTGTGGTCTGACAGACTGTTTGTTATCATTTCTGTTCTTTTACATTTGCTGAGGAGTGCTTTACTTCAACTATGTGGTCAATTTTGGAATAAGTGCAGTTTGGTGTTGAGAAGAATGTATGCTCTGTTGATTTGGGGTGGAGAGTTCTGTAGATATCTATTAGGTCTGCTTGGTGCAGAGTTGACTTCAATTCCTGGATATCCTTGTTCACTTTCTGTCTCGTTGATCTGTCTAATATTGACAGTGGGGTGCTAAGTTCTCCCATTATTATTGTGTGGGAGCCTAAGTCTCTTTGTAAGTCTCCAAGAACTTGCTTTATGAATCTGGGTGCTCCTGTATTGGGTGCATATATATTTAGAATAGTTAGCTCTTCTTGTTGAATTGATCCTTTTACCATTGTGTAATGGTCTTCTTTGTCTCTTTTGATCTTTGTTGGTTTAAAGTCCGTTTTATCAGAGACTAGGATTGCAACCCCTGCCTTTTTTTGTTTTCCATTTGCTTGATAGATCTTCCTCCATCCCTTTATTTGGAGCCTATGGGTGTCTCTGTAGGTGAGATATGTTTCCTGAATACAACACACTGATGGTTCTTGACTGTTATCCAATTTGCCAGTCTGTGTCTTTTAATTGGAGCATTGAGCCCATTTACTTTTAAGGTTAATATTGTTATGTGTGAATTTGAAACTGTCATTATGATGTTAGTTGGTTATTTTGCTCGTTAGTTGATGCAGTTTCTTCCTAGCCTTGACGATCTTTACAATTTGGCATGTTTTTGCAGTGGCCGATACCAGTTGTTCCTTATCATGTCTAGTGCTTCCCTCAGGAGCTCTTTTGGGGCAGGCCTGGTGTTGACAAAATCTCTCAGCATTTGCTTGTCTGTAAAGTATATTATTTCTCCTTCACTTATGATGCTTAGTTTGGTTGGATATGAAATTCTGCTTTGAAAATTCTTTTCTTTAACAATGTTGAATATTGGCCCCCACACTCTTATGACATGTAGAATTTCTGCCACGAAATGAGCTGTTAGTCTGATGGTCTTCCCTTTGTGAGTAACCCGACATTTCTCGCTGGTTGCCCTTAACATTTTTTCCTTCATTTCAACTTTGGTGAATCTGACAATTATGTATTGGAGTTGCTCTTCTCGAGGAGTATCTTTGTGCTATTCTCTGTATTTCCTGAATTTGAATATGGCCTACCTTGCTAGGTTGGGGTAGTTCTCCTGGATAATATACTGCAGAGTGTTTTCCAACTTGGTTCCATTCTCCCCATCACTTTCAGGTACACCAATCAGATGTAGATTTGGTCTTTTCACATAGTCCCATATTTCTTGGAGGCTTTGTTCATTTCTCTTTCCTCTTTTTTCTCTAAACTACTCTTCTCACTTCATTTCATTCATTTGATCTTCAATCACTGATACCCTTTCTTCCAGTTGATCGAATCAGCTACTGAAGCTTGTGCATTCATCACATAGTTCTCTTGCCATGGTTTTCAGCTCCATCAGGTCCTTTAAGGACTTCTCTGCATTGGTTATTCTAGTTAGCCAGTCGTCTAATATTTTTCAAGGTTTTCAACTTCTTTGGGATGGGTTCGAATTTCATCCTTTAGTTTGGAGAAGTTTGATTGTCTAAAGCCTTCTTATCTCAGCTCATCAAAGTCATCCTCAATCCAGCTTTGTTCCATTGCTGGTGAGGAGCTGTGTTCCTTTGGGGGAGGAGAGGTGCTCTGACTTTTAGAATTTTCAGTTTTTCTGCTCTGTTTTTTCCCTATCTTTGTGGTTTTATCTACATTTTGTCTTTGATGATGGTGACGTACAGATGGGGTTTTGGTGTGGATGTCCTTTCTGTTTGTTTGTTTTCCTTCTAGCTGTCAGGATCCTCAGTTGCATGCTTGTTGGAGTTTGCTGGAGGTCCACTCCAGACCCTGTTTGCCTGGGTATCAGCAACAGAGGCTGAAAAACAGCGAATATTGCTGAACAGTGAATTTGCTGCCTGATCTTTCCTCTGGAAGTTTCATCTCAGAGGGCTACCGGGCCATGTGAGAAGTCTGTCTTCCCTTACTGAGGGGTGCCTTCCAGTTAGGCTACTCAGGGGTCAGGGACCCACTTGAGGAGGCAGTCTGTCTGTTCTCAGATTTCAAACTCCATGCTGGGAGAACCACTACTCTCTTCAAAGCTGTCAGACAGGGACATTTAAGTCTGCAGAGGGTTCTGCTGCCTTTTGTTTGGCTATGCCCTGTCCCCAGAAGTGGAGTCCAAAGAGGCAGGCAGGTCTCCTTGAGCTGCGGTGGGCTCCACCCAGTTGTAGCTTCCTGGCCCCTTTGTGTATCTACTCAAGCATCAGCAATGGTGGGCGCCCCTCCTGCAGGCTCACTGCTGTCTTGCAGTTCGATCTCAGACTGCTGTGCTAGCAATGAGTGAGGCCCTGTGGGTGTGGGACCCTCAGAGCTGGGCATGGGATATAACGTCCTCGTGTGCCATTTGCTAAGACCATTGGAAAAGCACAGTATTATGGTTGGAATGACCTGATTTTCCAGGTGATTTTGTCACAGCTTTGCTTGGCTAGAAAAGTGAATTCCCTGACCCCTTGCACTTCCCACATGAAGTGATGCCTCGCCCTGCTTCAGCTCATGCTCAGTGCACTGCACCCACTCTCCTGCACCCACTGCCTGATTAGCACCACTGAGATGAACCCAGTACCTCAGTTCGAAATGCAGAAATCACCCACTTTCTGCATCGCTCACACTGGGAGCTGTATACTGCAGCTGTTCTTATTTGGTGATCTTGAAACTGCCTGCAAATCGTTCTTTTCATTCAGCAGTTGGGAATAACATTTTTATAGAGTCTGCAAAGGGATATTTTGGAGTGCATAGAGGACTATGGTGAAAAAGGAAACATTTTCAGACAAAAACTAGAAATAAGTTTTCTGAAAAACTGCTTTGGGGTGTCTGTATTCATCTCACAGAGATAAACCATTCTTTGAACTCAGCAGTTTGCATAAATTGTTTTTGTCCATACTGTGAATGGACATTTGGAAACTCATTGAGGCCAATGGCGAAAAAGTGAATTACCCAAGGATAAAAAATAAATGGAAGTTATCTGAGAAACTGCTTTAGTATGTGTGCATTCACCTTAGATTTTTAAAACTTTATTTTCATTCATCAGTTTGGAAACATTGTTTTTGTAGAATCTGCAAAGGGATATTTTGGAGGGGACTGGGGCTATGGTGAAAAAGGAAACAACTTCAGATAAAAACTAGAAAGAAGCTTTCTGAGAAACTGCTGGATGATGTGTGCATTCACCTGACAGAGCGAAACCTTTCTTTTGATTCAGTAGTTTGGAAAGACAGTTTTTTTCCATTCTGCAAATGGACATTTGGGAGCTCATTGAGGCCAATGGCAAAAAAGTGAATATCCCAGGATGAAAACTAGATGGAAGCTATCTGAGAAACTGCTATGTGATGTTTGCATTAATTTCACAGAGATAAAACTTTCTTTTCATTCAGCAGTTTGGAAACACTGTTATTGTAGAATCTGCAAGGGGATATTTTGGAGAGCATTGAGGACTATGATGAAAAAGGAAAAAATTACAGAAAAAAAAAGAAAGAAGTTTTCTGAGAAACTGCTTTGTGATGTCTGCATTCGTCTCACATACTTAAACCTTTCTTTGGATTCAGTAGTTTGGAAACACGTTTTTGTCCATTCTGCAACTGGACATTTGGGAACTCATTGAGGTTAAAGGCAAAAAAGTGAATATCCCAGGGTAAAAACTAGAAGGAAGCTATCTGAGAAATTGCTTTGTGATGTGTGCACTCATCTCACAAAGTTCAACCTTTCTTTTCATTCAGCAGTTTGGATATACAGTTTTTTTTTAGTATCTCCAAAGGGATATTTTGGACAGCATTGAAGCCTATGGTAAAAAGGAAACATCTTTAGATAAAAACTAGAAAGAAGCCTTCTGAGAAACTGCTTTGTGATGTGTGCATTCATCTCACAGAATTAGCCATTTCTTTGAATTCAGTTGTTTGGAAAGAGTGTTTTTGTCCATTCTGTGAATGGACATTTTTGAGTTCACTATGGGTAAAGGCAAAAAATCAAATATCCCAGGACAAAATTTAGAAGGAAGCTATCTGATAAACTGCTTTGTGGTGTGTGCATTCTCCTCACAGAGTTAAAGGTTTTTTTTTTTTCATACAACAGTTTGGAAGCAGTGTTTTTGTAGAAGCAGCAAAGTAATATTTTGGAGAGCATTGAGGCCTATGGTGAAAAAGGAAATATCTTCAGATAAAAACTGGAAAAAGCTTTCTGAGAAACTGTGTGCATCCATCTTACAGAGTTAAACTTTTCTTTGGGTTCAGTAATTTGGAAACACTGCTTTTATCCATTCTTCGAATGGACATTTGGGAGCTGATTGAGGCAAAAGACAGAAAAGGAAATATCCAAGGATGAAAACTAGAAGGAAGCTATCTGAGAAACTGCTACCTGATGCATGAATTCATCTCACAGATTTAAACCTTTCTTTCTTTCAGCAGTTTGGAAACACTGTTCTTTTAGAATCTGCAAAGGGATACTTCGAATAGCATTGGGGCCTGTTGTGAGAAAGGAAATGTCTTCAGATAAAAATAGAAAGAATGTTTTAGAGAAACTGCTTTGTGATGAGTGCATTCATCTCACAGAGTTAAACCTTTCTTTGATTTCTCAGTTTGGAAAGTGTTTTTGTCCATTCTGTGAATGGACATTTAGGAGCTCATTGAACCCAATGGTGAAAACGTGATTATCCCATGATAAAACTATAAGGAGGCTGTCTGAGAAAGTGCTTTGCAATGTGTGCATTCATCTCTCAGAGGTAAACCTTTATTTTCATTCAGCAATTTGGAAACACTGTTTTTGTAGAAAGTGCAAAGGTGTATTTCAGAGAGAACTGAGGCCTATGGTGAAATAGGAAACATCTTCAGATAAAAACTAGAAAGAAGGTTCCTGAGAAACTGCTTTGTTATATGGACATTCATCTCACAGAACTAAAACTTTTTTTGGATTCAAGAGTTTGGAAAGAGGATTTTTTTTCATTTGGCAAATGGACATTTGGGAGCTCATTGAGGTCAATGGCAAAAAAGCAAATATCCAAGGACAAAAACTAGATGGAAGGAATCTGAGAAACTGCAATGTGATGTGTGCATTCATCTCACAGAGTTAAACCTTTCGTTTCATTCAGCAGTTTGGAAACACTCTTTTTGTAATATCTCCAAAGGGATATTTCAGATAGCATTTAGGCCTAAGGTGAAATGGAAACATATTCAGATAAAAAACTTAAAGAAATTTTCCTAGAAACTACTTTGTGATGTGAGCATTAATCTCAGAGTTAAAACTTTCTTTGGGTTTAGCAGTTTGGAAACACTGTTTTTGTCCATTCTGTGAAAGGCCATTTGATGACTCATTGTGGCCAATGGGGAAAACATGGATATCCCAGTATAAAAAGTAGAAGGAAGCTATCTTAGAAATTGCTATGTGATGGGTGAATTCATTTTCCAGAATTAAAACTTTCATTTCTTTCAGCAATTTGGAAACACTGTTTTTGTAGAATCTGCAAAGGTTTATTTCAGAGAAAATTGAGGACTATGGGCAAAAGGAAACATCTTCAGATAAAAACTAGAATGAAGCCTTCTGAGAAAGTGGTTTTTGATGTATGCATTCATCTGACAGTGTTAAAATATTCTTTGGATACAACAGTTTGGAAAAACTCCTTTTATCCGTTCTGCTACTCGGCATTTGAGGGCTCATTGAGGTCAATGGAGAAAAAGTGAATATCCCAGGATAAAAACTACAAGGAATCTATCTGAGAAACTGCTTTGTCATGTGTGCATTCAACTCACTCACAGAATTATACATTTCTTTTCATTCAGTAGTTGGAAACACTGTGTTTGTAGAATCTCCAAAGGGATATTTCAGAGAGCATTGAGGCCTAGGGTGAAAAAGGAAATATCTTCAGATAAAAACTAGAAGGAAGCTTTCTGGGAAACCGTTTTTTGATGTGTGCATTCATCTCACAGAGATAAACATTTCTTTGGATTCAGTAGTTTGGAAACACTGTTTTTGTCCATTCTTGGAATGGATATTTGGGATCTCTTTGAGGCCAATGCCAAAAAGCAAATATCCCAGGATAAAAACTAGAAGGAAGCTTTCTGAGAAACTGCTCTGTGATGTGTGCATTAATCTCACAGAGTTAAACCTCCCTTTTCATTCAGCAGTTTGGAGACACTGTTTTTGTTGAATCTGAAAAGGGATATTTCAGAGAGCATTGAGGCCTATGGTGCAAAAGTAAACATCTTCAGATAAAAACTAGAAAGAAGCTTTCTGAGAAACTGCTTTCTCATGTGTGCATTCAACTCAGAGAGTTAGAAGTTTCTTTGGATTTTGCAGTTTGGAAACATTGCTTTTGTAGAATCTGCAAAGGGATTTTTCAGAGAGCATTGAGGTCTATGCTGGAAAAGTAAATATCTTCAAATAAAAACTAGAAAGATGCTTTGAGTTACTCCTTTAAGATGTGTACATTCATCTCACAGAGTTAAAGCTTTCTATGGATTCTGCAGTTTGGAAACATTGTTTTTGTCCATTCTGCAAATGGACATTTTGGAGCTCATTGAAGCCAACAGGGAATTAGCGAATATCCTAGGATAAAAGCAAGACGGAAGCTATATGAGAGACTGCTATGTGATGTCAGCATTCATCTCATAGAGTTAAATATATCTTTGGATTCAGCCGTTTGGAAACACTGTTTTCTTCCATTCTGCAAATGGTCATTTCTGATCTCATTTAGGCCGATGGGGAATTAGCAAATATCCCTGGAAAAAAGTAGATGGAAGCTATCTGAGAATCTTCTATGTGATTTGTACATTCATCTCACAGATTTAAACTTTTCTGTTCATTCAACAGTTTGTAAACAGTATTGTGTAGAAACTGTAAAGGGATATTTTGGAGAGCATTGTGGCCTGTGGTGAAAAAAGATACATCTTCAGATAAAATAGAAAGAAGCATTCTGAGAAGGTGCTTTGTGATGTGTCCATTCATCTCACAGAGTTAAACCTTTCTTTGGATTCAGCAGTTTGGAAAACTATTTTTGTTGAATCTGCAAAGGGATATTTCAGAGACCATTGCATCCTATGCTGGAAAAGGAAACACTTACAGAAAATAACTAGAAAGAAATTTCCTGAGTAAATGCTTTGTGATGCATGCATTCATCTCACAGACTTAAAACTTTCTTTGGATTCAGTAGTTTGGAAACACTGTTTTTGTTCCTTCTGGAAGTGGACATTTGCGAGCTCATTGAGGTCATGGTGCAAAAGGGAATATTTCAGGATAAAAACTCGAAGGAAGCTATCTGAGAAACCATTTCATGATGTCTCCATTCATCTTACAGAGTTCAACCTCTCTTTTCATTCAACAGTTTGGTAACACTGTTTTTGTAGAATCTGCATAGGGATACTTTGGTGAGCCTTCAGGCCTATGGTGAAATAGGAAACATCTACAGATAAAAACTAGAAAGAAGATTTCAGAGAAACTGCTTTGCACTGTGTATATTCATCTGACAGAGTTAAACCTTTCTTTAGATTCAGGAGTTTGGAAACACTATTTTTTCCATTCTGTGAATGGACATTTGGGAGCTCATTGAGGCCAATGGCAAAAAAGGGAATATCCCAGGATATACACTAGAAGGAATCTATCTGAGAAAGGGCTATGTGATATGTGCATTCATCTCTCAGAGTCAAACCTTACTTTTCATTCAGTTGTTTCAAAACACTCTTTTTGTAGAATCTGCAACAGGATATTTTGGAGAGCATGGAGGCCTATGTTGGAAAAGAAAACATATTCATCTAAAAATTAGAAAGAAACTTTCTGAGAAACTGCTTTTTGATGTGTGCATTCATCTCAAAGAGTTAAACCTTTCTTTGGATTCTGCAGTTTGGAAACATGGTTTTTGTAGAATCGGTAAAGGCATATTTCAGAGAGCTTTGAGGCATATGCTGGAAGAGGAAACGTCTTCAGATAAAAAGTATAAAGAACCTTTCTGAGAAACTGCTTTGTAATGTGTGCATTCATCTCACTGAGTTAAACCTTTATTTGGATTCAGCATTTTGGAAATACTGTTTTTGTCCATTCTGTGAATGGGAGTTTGGGAGTTCATTGAGCCTAACGGTGAAAAATCGAATATCCCAGGATAAATACTAGAAGGAAGCTATCTGAGAAATCGCTTTGTGATGTGTGCATTGATCTCGAAGAGTTAAAACTTACTTTTCATACAGCATTTTGGAAACAGTGTTTTTGTAGGATCTGCAAAGGGATATTTTGGAGAGCATTGAGGCCTATGGTGAAAAAGGAAACATCTTCAGATAAAAAGTAGAAAGAAGCTTTCTGAGAAACTGCTTTGTGATGTGTCCATTCATCTCACAGAGATAAATTTTTCTTTTGACTCAGTAGTTTGGAAACAATGTTTTTGTCCATGCTGCTAATGGACATTTGGGAGCTTATTGAGGCCAATGGAGAAAAAAAGAATTTCCCTGGATAAAAAGTAGACAGAGGCTTTCTGAGAAACTGCCATGTGATGTGTGCATTCATCTCACAGATTTAAACATTCTTTATCATTCAACAGTTTGGAAACAGTGTCTTTGTAGAAACTGCAAAGGGACATTTCTTAGAGCATTGAGGCCTATGGTGAAAAAGGAAACATCTTCAGATAAAAGCTAGAAGGAAGCTTTCAGAGAAACTGCTTTGTGATGTGTGCATTCATCTCAGAGAGTTAAACGTTACTTTGGATTCAACACTTTGGAAACACTGTTCTTGTCCATTCTGCATACAGCCATTTGGGAGCTCATTTATGCCAATGGTGAAAAAGGGATATCCCAGGATAACAAGTAGATGGAAAATATCTGTGTAACTGCTATGTGATGTGTGCATTCATCTCACACAGTTAAATCTTTCTTTTCTTTCAGTATTTTGGAAACTTAGTTTTTATTGAATCTGCATAGGGATATTTGGGAGATCATTGAGGACTACAATGAAAAAGGAAATATCTTAAGATAAAAACCAGAAATGAGCTTTCCGAGAAACTGCTTTGCAATGTGTGCATTTACCTCACAGATTTGAAACTTTCTTTGCATTGAGTAGTTTGGAAACACTGTTTTTGTCCATTCTATGAATGGATATTTGGGAGCTCATTGAGGCCATGGCAAAAAAGTGAAAATCCCGGGATTAAAACTAGAAGGAAGTTATCTGAGAAAGCACTTTGCAATGTGAGCATTCATTTCACAGAGATAAACTTTTTATTTCATTCAGCAGTTTGGAAAGACCATTTTTGTAGAATATGCAAAGGGTTATTTCGGAGAGTATTGAGGTCTATGGTGAAATAGGAAACATCTTCAGATGAAAACTAGACAGAAGCTTTCTGAGAAGCTGCTTTGTGATGTGTGCATTCAGCTCAGAGAGTTAAATCTTTCTATGGATTCAGCAGTTTTGAAACACTGTTTTTGTCCACTTAGCAAAAGGATGTTTGGGAACTCATTGAGGCCAATTGAGAAAAATGGAATATCCCTGAATAAAAACTACAAGGAAGCTATCTGAGAAACTGCTTTGTGTTGTGGGCATTCATCTCACAAATTTAAACCATGCTTTTCATTCAGTAATTTGGAAACCCTTTTTTTATTGAATCTGGAAATGGATATTTCTGTGGTATTGAGGCCTATGGTGAAAAAGGATTCATCTTCAGTTAAAATCTAAAAAGAAACTTTCTGAGAAACTGCTTTGTGATGTGTGCATTCATCTCACAGAGTTAAAACTTTCTTTGAATTCAGTAGTGTTGAAAGAGTGCTTTTGTCCATTTTGCTAATGGACATTTGAGGGCTCAGTGAGGCCAGTGACAAAAAATAGAATATCCCAGGATAAAAAGTACACTTAAGCTATTTGAGAATCTGCTGTGGGATGTGTGCATACCTCTCACAGAGTTAAACCTTTCTTTTCATTCAGCAGATTGGAAAAACTGTTTTTGTGTAATCTGCAAAGGGATATTTCAGAGCATTGAGGCCTATCTTAAAAAAGGAATCATCTCAGATAAAACTAGAAAGAAGCGTTCTGAGAAACTGCTTTGAGATGTGTGCATGCATGGCACAGAGATAAACTTTTCTTTGGATTCATCTGTTTGGAAACACTGTTTGTGTCCATTTTGTGAACAGACATTTGGGACCTCATTGGGGCCAATGGCAAAAAAATGAATATCCCAGAATAAAAACTAGATGAAGCCTATCTCAGAAACCTATTTTGATGTGTGCATTCAACACGAAGAGTTTAACATATCTATCTTCTTATACAGCATTTTGGAAAAACTGTTTTGAAGAATCTGGAAAGGTTTCTTTCAGAGAGAAATGAGGCCTTCATTGAAAAAGGAAACATCTTCAGATAAAAACTAGACCCCTCAGAAATAATGCCCCATATCTACAACTATCTGATCTTTGACAAACCTGACAAAAACAAGAAATGGGGGAAGGATTCCCTATTTAATAAATGGTGCTGGGAAAACTGGCTAGCCATATGTAGAAAGCTGAAACTGGATCCATTCCTTACACCTTATACAAAAATTAATTCAAGATGGACTAAAGACTTACATGTTAGACTTAAAGCCATAAAAACCCTAGAAGAAAACCTAGGCAATACCATTCAGGACATAGGCATGGACAAGGACTTCATTTCTAAAACACCAAAAGCAATGGAAACAAAAGACAAAATTAACAAATGGGATCTAATTAAACTAAAGAGCTTCTGCACAGCAAAAGAAACTACCATCAGAGTGAACAGGCAACCTACAAAATGGGAGAAAATTTTTACAACCTATTCATCTCACAGAGGGCTAATATCCAGAATCTACAATGAACTCAAACAAATTTACAAGAAAAAACAAACAACCCCATCAAAAAGTGGGCAAAGGATATGAACAGACACTTCTCAAAAGAAGACATTCATGCAGCCAAAAAACACATGAAAAAATGTTCATCATCACTGGCCATCAGAGAAATGCAAATCAAAACTACAATGAGATGCCATGTCTCACCACTTAGAATGGTGATCATTAAAAATCAGGAAACAACAGGTACTGGAGAGGATGTGGAGAAATAGGAACACTTTTACACTGTTGGTGGGAATGTAAACTAGTTCAACCATTGTGGAAGTCGGTGTGGTGATTCCTCAGGGAACTAGAACTAGAAATACCGTTTGACTCAGCAATCCCACTATTGGGTATATACCCAAAGGATTATAAATCATGCTGCTATAAAGACACATGCACACGTATGTTTATTGCAACACTATTCACAATAGCAAAGACTTGGAACCAACCCAAATGTCCAACAATGATAGACTGGATTAAGAAAATGTGGCACATATACACCATGGAATACTATGCAGCCATAAAAAAGGATGAGTACATGTCCTTTGTAGGGACATGGATGAAGCTGGAAACCATCATTCTCAGCAAACTATCGCAAGGACAAAAAAACCAAACGCCACATGTTCTCACTCACAGGTGGGAGTTGAACAATGAGAACACATGGACACAGGAAGGGGAACATCACACTCTGGGGACTGTTGTGGAGTGGGAAGAGGGGGAGGGCTATCATTAGGAGATATACCTAATGTTAAATGACGAGTTAATGGGTGCTGCACACCAGCATGGTACGTGTATACATAAGTAACAAACATGCATGTTGTGCACATGTACCCTAAAACTTAAAGTATAATTTAAAAAAAACTAGAAAGAATCTTTCTGAGAACCTGGTTTGACAGGTGGGCATTCACCTCACAGAGTCAAACCTTTCTTTGGATTCTGTAATTTGGAAAGAGTGTTTTTGTCCATTCTGTGAATGGATATTTCAGAGCTCTTTGAGGTCAATGGCAAAAAAAGCCAACATCACAGAATAAAAACCAGAAGGAATCTATCTGAGAAACGGCTTTGTGATGTGAGCACTCATTTCACAGGGTTAAAGCTTTCTTTTTGTACAGCAGTTTGGAAGCAGTGTTTCGAAGAATCTGCAAAGGGATATTTCGGAGAGCATTGAGGCCTATGGTGAAAAAGGAAACATCATCAGTTAAAAACTAGAAAGAAGCTTTCTGAGAAACTGCCTTGTGATTTGTGCATTCATCTCACAGAGTGAAACCTTTCTTTGGATTCAGCAGTTCGGAAAACTTGTTTTTTGTCCATTCTGCAAATGGATATTTGGGAGCTCATTGAGGCCAATGGCAAAAAAGGGAATACCCCAGGATTCAAACAGAAAAACTGCTTTGTGATGTGAACATTCATTTCACAGAGTTAAACCTTTCTTTGGATTCATTAATTTGGAAAGAGTGTCTTTGTCCATTCTGTGACTGGACATTTTGTACTTCTTTGAGTGCAATGGCGAAAAAGGTAATATCCTAGAACAAAAATCAGAAAGATGATATCTGAGAAATCGCTTTGTGATGTGAGCATTAATCTCACAGAGTTAAAACTTTCTTTTCATACAGCAGTGTGGAAACAGTGTTTTGTAGAATCTGTAAGGGGACGTTTCAGAGAGCATTGAGGCCTATAGTAAGGAAACATCTTCAGAGAAAAACTAGAAAGAAGCTTTCTGAGAAAGTGATTTGTGAAGTGTGCATTCATCTCACAGAGTGAAACCTTTCTTTGCATTCAGTAATTTAGAAAAACTGTTTTTGTCCTCTCTGCAAATGGACATTTCGTACTTTGTTGAGGCCAATGATGTAGAATCTAATATCCTAGAATAAAAACTAGAAAGAAGCTATATGATAAATTGCTTTGCAATGTGTGCATTCATCTCACAGAGTTAAAGATTTCTTGTCATACAGCAGTATGGAAACAGTGTTTTCTAGAATTGGCAAAGGGATATTTCAGATATCATTGTCTCCTATGGTGAAAAACGAGACATCTTGATAAAAACTAGAAAGAAGCTTTCTGAGAAACAGCGTTGTGATGTATGCATTCATCTCCCAGAGGTAAGCCTTTAATTGGATTCAAGAGTTTTGAAAAACTGTCTTAGCCCAGGGATATTCCCTGGATATTTAGTCCTGGAATATTCCTATTTTCACAGTGAGTCTCAAAGCACCCCAAAATGTCTATTCACTGAGTTAACAAACACTGTGTTTCAAAGCTGCTGAATCCAAAGAAAGATTTAACTCTGTGAGATGAATGCACACATCACAAAGCAGTTTCTCAGAAAGCTTTCTAGTTTTTATCTGAAGATGTTTCCTATTCCACCATAGGCCTCAATGCTCTCTGAAGTATCCCTTTGCATATTCTATGAAAACAGTGTTTCCAAACTGCTGAATGAAAAGGAAGGTTTAACTCTGTGAGATGAATGTGCACATCACAAAGTGGTTTCTAAGATAGCTGCCTTCTGGTTTTTATAATGGGTTATTCCCATTTTCGCCTTTGGCCTCAGAGAGCCCCCAAATGTCCTTTCACTGAATGGACAAAAACAGTGTTGGAAAACTGCTGAATACAAAGAAGGTTTAACTCTATGAGATGAATGCACATGACACAAAGCAGTTTCTCAGAAATATTTCTAGTTTTCATATGGCGATGTTTCCTATTTCACTGTAGGCCTCAATACTCTGCGAAATAACCCCTTGCAGATTTTACAAAAACAGTGTTTCCAAACTGTTGATGAAAAGAAAGGTTTATCTCTGTGAGATGAATGCTTTCATCACAATGCGGTTCCTCAGATAGCTTCCTTCTAGTTTTAATCCTGGGATATTACCTTTATTGCCATTTGTCCCAATTAGCTCCCAAATGTCCATTTGCAGAATTGACAAAAACAAATTTTCCAAGCTGCTGAATCCAAAGAAAAGTTTGCCTCTGTGAGATGAACTCAAACATCACAAGGCAGTTTCTCAGAAAGTTTGTTTGTACTTTTTATCTGAAGATATTTCCTTTTTTACCGTAGGCCTCAATGCTCTCCAAAGTATCCCTTCACAGATTCTACAAAACACCGTCTCCAAACTGCTGTATGAAAAGAAAGCTTTAAATCTGCTAGGTGAATGCACACATCACAAAGCAGTTTCTCAGATAGCTTCCTTCTAGTTTTCATTCTAGGACATCAGTTTTTTCGCCTTTGGCATCAGCAAAGAACAAAATGTCCTTTCACAGAATGGACAAAAACAGTCTTTCCAAATTACTGAATTCAAATAAATGTTTAACATTGTGAGATGAATGCTTACATCACAAAGCAGTTTCTCAGAGAACTTCTTTCTACTTTTTATCTGAAGATGTTTCCTTTTTTATGATAGGCCTCGATGCTCTTCTAAATATCACTTTGCAGCTTCAGCAAAAACAGTGTTTCCAAACTACTGTATGAAAATCGTGTTTTAAATCTGTGAGATGAATGAACACATCACAAAGCTCTTTCTCAAGTACCTTTCTTCTAGTTTTTATCATCTGTTATTCCCTTTTTTGCCATTGGCCTCAATGAGCTGCAAAATGTCCATTCGATCAGTGGACAAAAACAGTGTTTCAAAACTGCTGAGTAAAAGCAAAGGTTTAAATCTGCGAGATGAATGCACACATTACAAAGCTGTTTCTAAGAAATTTTCTTTCTAGTTTTTATCCAAAGATGTTTCTTATTTCACCATAGGCATCGGTACTCTCTGAAATAACCCTTTGCAGATTCTACAAAAACAGTGATTCCTAACTGCTGAATGAAATGGAAGATTTAACTCTGCGAAATAAATATTTACATCATAAAGAAGTTTCTCGGATAGCAGCCTTCTAGTTTTAATCCTGGGATATTCCCTTTTTTGCCATTGGCCTCAACGAGCTCCAAAGTCCATTCACGGAATGGACAAAAATAGATTTTCCAAACTGCTGAATCCAAAGAAAGGTTTAATTCTGTGGGATGAGTGCACACGTCACAAGGAAGTTTCTCAGAAAGCTTCTTTCTGGTTTTTAACTGAAGATATTTCCTTTTTCACCATAAGCCTCAATGCTCTCCAAAATATACATTTGCACATTCTTCAAAAACACTGTTTCTAAACAGCTGAATGAACATAATGGTTTAACATTGTGAAATGGATGCTCACATCACAAAGTTGTTTCTCAGCTACATTTCTTCTAGTTTTTATTCAGGGATATTCACTTTTTCACAATTGGCCCCAAAAGGCTCCAAAGTGTCCATTTGCAGAATGGACAAAAACTTTGTCTCCAAACTATTGAATCCAAAGAAAGATTTAAGTCTGTGAGATGAATGCACACATCACAAAACATTTTCTCAGAAAGTTTCTTTCTAGTTTTTCTCTGAAGATGTTTCCTTTTTTACCATAGGCCTCAGTGCTCTCTGAAATATCCCTTTGCAGATTCTACAAAAACAGTCTTTCCAAATTGCTGAATGAAAAGAATGATTTAGCTCTGTGAGATGAATGAACATACCACAAAGCCGTTTCTTGGATATGTTCCTTCTGGTATTTATCCTGGGGTATTCCCATTTTCACAATTGACCTCAAACTGCACCCAAATGTCCATTTGCTGAGTTGATAAACAACGTGTTTCAAACTGCTGAATGCAAAGAAACATTTACCTCTGTGAGATGGACACATCACAAAGCAGTTTCTCAGAAAACTGCTTTCTCATTTTTCTCTGGAGATGTTTCCTATTTCACCACAGGCCTCAATGCTCTCTGAATTATCCCTTTGTGATTCCACAAAAACAGTGTTTCCAAACTACATGTTGAAATGAAAGGTTTAACCCTATGAGATGAGTGCGCACATCACAAGGCAGTTTCTCAGAAAGTTTCTTTCCAGTTTTTATCTGCAGATGTTTCCTTTTCACAATGGGCCTCAATGTTCTCCAAAATATCCCTTTGCAGAATCTACAAAACACAGTTTGCCAACTGCTGTACAAAAATAAAGCTTTGATCTGCGATATGAATACACACATCACAAATCAGTTTTTCAGATAGCTTCCTTCTAGTTTTTATTCTAGCATATTAGCTTTCTTGCCATTGGCCTCAACGAAGTACAAAATATCCATTCGCAGAATGGAAAAAAACACTCTTTGCAAGTTAGTGAATCCAGAGAAAGGCTTAACTCTGTGAAATGAATGCACTCATCACAAAGCAGTTTCTCAGAGAGCCTCTTTCTTGTTCTTATCTGAAGAGGTTTCCTTTATTACCATAGGCCTCAAAGCACTCTGAAATATCCCTTTCCAGATTCCACAAAAACAGAGTTCTCAAGCTGCTGTATGGAAAGCGTGTTTTAACACTATGAGATGAATGCACATATCACAAAGTGATTTCTCAGATAGCTTCCTTCTAGTTTTTCATCCTGGGATATTCCCTTTTTTGCCTTTGGCCTCAATTGGATCCCAAATGTCCATTCACTGAGTGGACAAAAACAGTGTTTCAAAACTGCTGAATGCAAAGAAAAGTTTATCTCTGTGAGATGAATGCACACATCACAAGGCAGTATCTCAGAAAGCTTCTTTCTAGTTTTTCATGAAGATGGTTCCTTTTTTATCATAGGACTCATGCTCTCCGAAATAACCGTTTGCAGATTCTACAAAAACAATGATTTCTAACTGCTCAATGAAAAGAAAGTTTTAAATCTGTGAAATGAATGCTCACATCACAAAGCAGTTTCTCAGACAGCTGCCTTCTAGTTTTAATCCTGGGATATTCCCTTTTCTGTCAGTGAACTGAATGAGCTCCAAAATTTCCATTCACAGAATGGACAAAAACAGATTTTCCAAACTGCTGAATCAAAAGAAATGATTAAATTTGTGTGATGAATGCAGACTTCACAAGGCCATTTATCTGAAAGTTTCTCCCTAATTTTTAACTGAAGATATTTCCTTTTTCACCATAGACCTCAATGTTCTCTGAACTATACATTTGCAGATTCTACAGAATCACTATTTCCGAAGAGCTGAATGAAAATAATGGTTTAACTCTGTGAAATGAATGCTCACATCACAAAGCAGCTTCTCAGATAGATTACTTCTAGTTTCTATTTAGGGATATTTGCTTTTTCACCATTGGTACCAAAGAGCTCCGAAATGTCCTTTCACAGAATGGACAAAAGCTGTGTTTCCAAACTACTGGATTTAAGGAAAGCTTTAAGTCTGTGAGATGAATGGACACTTCACAAAGCAGTCTCTCAGAAAGTTTCTTTCTAGTTTTTCTCTGAAGACATTTCCTCTTTTACCATAGGCCTCAATGCTCTCCAAAATATCCCTTTGCACATTGTACAAAAACAGGGTTTTAAATTGCTGAATGAAAAAAAATGATTTAACTGTGTGAGATGAATGAGCATATCACAGAGCAGTTTCTCAGACACCTTCCTTCTAGTTTTTGTCGTTGGATATTCCGATTTTCACAGTTGGCCTCAAAGCGCTTTAAATGTCCATTCACTGAGTTGACACACACCGTGTTTCAAAACTGCTGAATCCAAAGAAAGGTTTAACTCTGTGAGACGAATGCACACCTCACAAAGCAGTTTCTCAGAAGGCTTCTTTCTAATTTTTATCTGAAGATGTTTCCTATTTCACCGCACGCCTCAAGGATCTCCAAAACATAGCTTTGCAGATGTTACAAAAACACTGTTTCCAAACACCTGACTGAAAAGAAAGGTTTAAGCCTGTGAAATGAATGCTCTCATCACAAAGCAGTTTCTCAGATACCTGCCTTCTAGTTTTAATACTGGAATATTCCCTTTTTACCATAGGCCTCAAAGAGTTCCCAAATGTCTATTTGCCAAATGGAGAAAAACAGATTTTTCCAAACTACTGAATCCAAACGAAGCTTTAACTCTGTGAGATGAATTCGCACATCACAAAGCAGTTTCTCAGAAAGTTTCTTTCTCGTTTTTATCTGAAGATGATTTCTACTTCACCATAGGCCACAATACTCTCCAAAATAACCCTTTGTAGATTCTACAAAACAAGTGATTTCTAACTGCTGAATGAAAAGGAAGTTTTAACTTTGTGAAATGAATGCTCACATTGCAAAGTCATTTCTCACATAGCTGTCTTCTAGTTTTAATCCTGGGATGTCCCCTTTTTTGCCATTGGCCTCAAAGAGCTCCCAAATGTCCATTCACAGAATGGACAAAAACATATTTTCCAAACTGCTGAACCCAAAGAAAGCTGTAAGTCTGTGAGATGAATGCACACATCACAAAGCAGTTTCTCAGAAAGCTTTTTTCTAGTTTTAAACTAAAGATGTTTCCTTTTTCACCGTAGTACTCAATGCTCTCCAAAATATCCCATTGCATGTTCTGTAAAAACAATGCTTTCAAACAGATGAATTAAAAGAATGGTGTAACTGTGTGAAATGAATGCTCACATCACAAAGCAGTTTCTGAGAGAGATTCCTTCTAGTTTTTATTCAGGGATATTCCATTTCTCGCCTTTGGCCCCAAAGAGCTCCAACACGTCCATTTGCAGAATGGACAAAAATCTGTTTCCAAACTACTAAATAAAAAGAAAGCTTTAAGTATGTGAGATCAATGAATGCATCACAAAGCAGTTCCTCAGAAAGCTTTTTCTAGTTTGTAATGGAAGATATTTGCTTGTTCAACATAGGCTCCAATGCTCTCTGAAATATTGCTTTGCTGATTCCATAGAAACACTGCTTCCAAACAGCTGAATGAAAAGAATGGTTTAACTTTACGAAATGAATGCTCACATCAAAAAGCAGTTTCTCAAATAGATTTCTTCTAGTTTTTATTCAGGGATATTCACTTTTTTGCTATTGGTCCCAAAGAGGTCTGAAATGTCCATTCTCAGAACAGACAAAAACTGTGTTTCCAAACTACTAAATCAAAAGAAAGCTTTAAGACTGTGAGATGAATGCACACATCATGAAGCAGTTTCTCAGAAAGCTTCTTTCTCCTTTTTATCTGAAGATGATTCCTATTTCACCATAGGCCTCAATACTCTACGAAATAACCCTTTGCAGATTCTACAAAAACAGGGATTTCTAACTGCTGAATGAAAAGACAAGCTGAAATCTGTGAAATGCATGCCCATGTCACAAAGCCATTTCTTAGATAGCTGTCTTCTTATTTTAATCCTGGGATATTCCCTTTTTTGCCACTGACCTCAATGAGCTCCGAAATGTCAATTCACAGAATGGACAAAAACAGATTTTCCAAAATGCTGAATCCAAAGAAAAGTTTAACACTGTGAGATGAATGAACACATCTCAAGGCAGATTCTCAAAAAGCTTCTTTCCAGTTTTTAACAGAAGTTGTTTTCTTTTTCACAATAGGCTTCAATGCTCTCTGAAATATCACTTTGGAGATTCTACAAAAAAACTGCTTCCTAACAGCTGAATGAAAATAATGGTTTAAATCTATGAAATGAATGTTCACATGACACAATGGTTTCTGTGATTGATTCCTTCTAGTTTTTATTCAGGGATATTCACTTTTTCACCATTGGCCCCAAAGAGCTATGAAATGTCCATTCACAGAATGAACAAAACCTGTGTTTCCACACTACTGAATTCAAAGAAAGCGTTAAACCTGTGAGATGAAGACACACATAAAGCAGTTTCTCAGAATGCTTCTTTGTCATTTTTATCTGAAAACATTTTCTATTTCACCATAGGCCACAAAACTCTCCAAAATAACTCTCTGCAGATTCTACAAAAACAGTGATTTCTAACTGCTGAATGAAAAGAAAGGTTTAACTCTGTGAAATACAAGCTAACATCACAAAGAGCTTCCTCAGATAGCTGCCTTCTAGATGTAATCCTGGGATATCCCCTTTTATGTCACTGGCCTCAAAGAGCTCCCAAATGTCCACATGCAGAATGGACAAAAACAGATTTTCCAAAGTGCTGCATACAAGGAAACGTTTACTCTATGAGATGAAAGGACACATCACAAGACAGATTCTCAGAAAGCTTCTTTCCAGTTTTTAACAGAAGATATTTCCTTTTCACCATAGGCCTCAATGCTCTCCAAAATAGCCCTTTGAGTATTCTACAAAAACACTGCTTCCAAACAGCTGAATGAAAAGAATGGTTTAACTCTGTGAAATGAATGCTCACATGACACAGCAGTTTCTCAGATAGATTCCATCTAGTTTTTATTCAGGGATATTCACTTTTTGGCCATTAGCCCAAAAGAGCTCTGAAATATCCATTCGCAGAAAGGACAAAAACTCTCCTTCCAAACTGTTGAATCCAAAGGAAGCTTTAACTCTGTGAGATGAATGCACACAACACAAAGCAGTTTCTCAGAAAGCTTCTTTCTCGTTTTTATCTGAAGATGTTTAATATTTCACCATAGGCCAGAAAACTCTCCAAAATGACCCTTTTCAGATCCTACAAAACCAGTGATTTGTAACTGCTGAATGAAAAGAAAGGTATAAATCTCTGAAATGAATGTTCACGTCAAAAAGTTGAATCTCACATACCTATCTTCTAGTTTTGATCCTGAGATATCCCCTTTTTTGCACCATCCTCAATGAGTTCCTGAATGTCCATTCGCAGAATGGACAAAAACAGATTTTCCAAACTGCTGAATAAAAGGAAAGGCTTAACTCTGTAAGACGAATGGTCATATCACATGGCAGATTCTCAGAAAGCTTCTTTCTAGTTTTTAACTGAAGATGTTTGCTTTTTCACTGTAGGCCTCAATGCTCTCTGAAATATCCCTTTGCAGATTCTGTAAAAGTACTGCTTCCAAACAGACGAATGAAAAGAATGGTTTAACACTGTGAAATGAATGCTTACATCACAAAGCAATTTCTCATATAGATTCCTCCTAGTTTTTATTCAGGTATATTCACTTTTTGGCCTTTGGCCCCAAAGAGCTCTGAAATGTCCATTCACAGAATGGACAAAAACTCTGCTTCCAAACTACTAAATGCAAAAAAAGCTTGAAGTGTCTGAGATGAATGCACACATCACCAAGCAGTTTCTCAGAGAGCTTCTTTCTCATTTTTATCTGAAGATGTTTCCTATTTCACCATAAGCCACAATACTCTCTGACACAACCCTTTGCAGATTGTACAAAACCAGTGATTTCTAACTGCTGAATGAAAAGAAAGGTTTAACTCTGTGAAATGAATGCTCACATCACAAAGCCGTTTCTCACATACCTGTCTTCTAGTTTTAATCCTGAGATATACCCTTTTTTGGAACTGGCCTCAAAGAGCTCCCAAATGTCCATTCGCAGAATGGACAAAAACAGATTTTCCAAACTACTGAATCCAAAGGAAGCTTTAACTCTGTGAGATGAATGCACACATCACAAAGCAGTTTCTCAGAAAGCTTCTTTCTAGTTTTAAACTGAAGATGTTCCTTTTTCACCATAGGCCTAAATGATCTCCAAAATATCCCTTTGCAGATTCTGTAAAAATACTGCTTAGAAACAGCAGAATGAAAAGAATGGTTTAGTTCTGTGAAATGAAGGCTAACATCACAAAGCAGTGTCTCAAATAGATTCCTCCTAGTTTTTATTCAGGGATATTTGCTTTTTGGCCATTGGCCCCAAAGAGCTCTGAAATGTCCATTTGCAGAACGGATAAAAACTCTGTTTCCAAACTACTGAATCCCAAAAAAGTTTGAAGTCTGTGAGATGAATGCACACATCACAAAGCAGTTTCTCAGAAAACTTCTTTGTAGTTTTTAACTGAAGATGTTTCCTTTTTCACCACAGGCCACAATGCTCTCTGATATATCACTTTGCAGATTGTGTAAAAATACTGCTTCCAAACAGTTGAATGGAAAGAATGGTTTAACTTTGCAAAATGAATGTTCACATCATAAACTGGTTTCTCAGATTGGTTCCTTCTAGTTTTTATTCAGGGATAATCGTTTTTTCAACATTGGCCCCAAAGAGCTGCAAAATGTCCATTCACAGAATGGATAAAAACTGTGCTTCCAAACTACTGAATCCAAAGAATGCTTGAAGTCTCTTAGTTGAATACACACATCACTAAGCAGTTTCTCAGAAAGCTTCTTTCTCATTTTTATCTGAAGATGTTTCCTATTTCACCATAGGCTTCAATACTCTCCGAAATAAGCCTTTGCAGATTAAAAAAAAAACAGTGATTTCTAACTGCTGAATGAAAAGAAAGGTTAAACTCTGTGAAATGCATGCTTACATCACAAAGTGGTTTCTCAGATAGCTGCCTTCATGCTGAAATCCTTGGATATCCCCTTTTTTGCCACTGGCCTCAATGAGCTCCCAGACATCCATTTGCAGAATAGACAGAAAGAGATTTTCCAAACTGCTGAAAAAAGGAAAAGTTTAACTCTGTGAGATGGATGGACACATCACAAGACATTCCCAGACAGCTTCTTTCTAGTTTTTAACAGAAGTTTTTTTTCCTTTTCACCACAGGCCTCAATGCTCTCCAAAATAAGCCTTTGCAGATTCCACCAAAACACTGCTTCTAAACAGCTGAATGAAAACAATGGTTTAACTCTCTGAAATGAATGTCCACATGACACAGCTGTTTCTCAGATGGACTTCTTCTAGTTTTCATTCAGGGATATTCTCTTTTTCACCATTGTCCACAAAGAGCTCTGAAATGTCCATTAACAGAATGGACAAAAACTCTGCTTCCAAACTACTGAATCCAAAGGAAGCTTTAAGTCTGTGAGATGAATACCTACATCACAAAGCAGTTTCTCAGAAAGCTTCTTTCTCGTTTTTATCTGAAGTTGTTTCCTATTTCACCATAGGCCCCAATACTCTCGGAAATAAGCCTTTGCAGATTCTACAAAACCAGTGATTTCTAACTGCTGAATGAAAAGAAAGGTTTAACTTTGTGAAATGAATGCTCACATCACAAAGCCAATTCTCACATTCCTGTCTTTTATTTTTCACCCTGAGATATCTCCTTTATTGCCACTGGCCTCAATGAGCTCCCAAACGTCCATTCACAGAAAGGTGAAAAACAGATTTTCCAACCTGCTGAATCCAAAGAAAGCTTTACCCTTGTGAAATGAATGCACACATCACAGAGCAGTTTCTCAGAAAGCTTCTTTCTAGTTTTTAACTGAAGATGTTTCCTTTTTCTACATCAGCCTCAGTGCTCTCTGAAATATCCCTTTGCAGATACTTTAAAAACGCTGCTTCCTGGATTAAGAAAATGTGGCACATATACACCATGGAATACTATGCAGCCATAAAAATGATGAGTTCATGTCCTTTGTAGGGACATGGATGAAATTGGAAATCATCATTCTCAGTAAACTATCGCAAGAACAAAAAACCAAACAGTGTATATTCTCACTCATAGGTGGGAATTGAACAATGAGATCACATGGACACAGGAAGGGGAATATCACACTCTGGGGACCGTTGTGGGGTGGGGGTAGGGGGGAGGGATAGCATTGGGAGATATACCTAATGTTAGATGACGAGTTAGTGGGTGCAGCGCACCAGCATGGCACATGTATACATATGTAACTAACCTGCACAATGTGCACATGTACCCTAAAACTTAAAGTATAATAAAAAAATACAAAAAAAAAATAAAGCTGAAAGGGATGATATGTTAAAAAAAAAAAAAAACAAAAACAAAAACAAAAAAACAAAAAACGCTGCTTCCAAACAGCTGAATGAAAAGAATGGTTTGACACTGTGAAATGAATGCTCAATCACAAAGCAGTTTCTCAGATAGGTTCCTTCTAGTTTTTATTCAGGGATATTCCCTTTTTGGCATTTGACCACAAAGAGCTCCGAAATGTCCATTCGCAGAATGGACAAAAACTCTTCCTCCAAAATACTGAATCCAAAGGAAGCTTTAACTCTGTGAGATGAATGCCCAAGTCACAAAACACTTTCTCAGAAAGCTTATTTCTCGTTTTTATCTGAAGATATTTCTTACTTCACCATAGGTCACAATACTCTCTGAAATAACCCTTTGCAGATTCTACAAAATCATTGATTTCTAACTGCTGAATGAAAAGAAAGGTTTAACTCTGTGAAATGCATGCACATATCACAAAGCTGATTCTTACATACATTTTACTTTTAATCCTGAGGTATCCCCTTTTCTGCCACCAGCCTCAATGAGCTCCCAAAAATGTCCATTCACAGAACGGTAAAACTCATATTTTCCAAACTGCTGAACACAAGGAAAATTTTACCTCTGTGAGATGAATGGACACATCACAAGGCAGATTCTCAGAAAGCTTCTTTCCAGTTTTTATTAGAAGACGATTCCTTTTCACCATATGCCTCAATGCTATCTGAAGTATCACTCTGCAGATTCTACAAAAACACCGCTTCTAAAGAGATGAATGAAAATAATGGTTTACCTCTGTGAAATGAACACTTACATGACACAGCAGTTTTTCAGATAGATTCCTTCTAGTTTTTATTCAGGGACATTCACTTTTTTGCCATTGGCCCCAAAGAGCTCCAATATGTCCATTCACAGAATGATAAAAACTCTGCTTCCAATCTACTGAATCCAAAGAAAGCTTTGCCTTTGTGAGATGAATGCACACGTCACAAAGCAGTTTCCCAGAAAGCTTCTTTCTAGTTTTTAACTGAAGATGTTTCCTTTTTCACCATTGACCTCAATGCTCACTGAAATATCCCTTTGCAGATTCTGTAAAAACACTGCTTCCAAACAGCTGAAAGAAAAGAATGGGTTAATTCTGTGAAGTGAATGCTCACATCACAAAGCTGTTTCTCAGATAGATTCCTTATAGTTTTTATTCAGGGATATTCACTTTTTGGCATTTGGCCCCAAGGAGCTCTGAAATGTCTATCTGCAGAATGGACAAAAACTCTGCCTCCAAACTACTGAATCCAAAGGACGCTTTAACTCTGTGAGATGAATGCCCACATCACAAAGCACTTTCTCAGAAAGCTTCTTTCTCGTTTTTATCTGAAGATATTTCCTATTTCACCATAGGCCACAATACTCTCTGAGAAAACCTTTTGCAGATTCTACAAAACCAGTAATTTCTAACTGCTGAATGAAAAGAAAGGTTTAACTATATGAAATGCATGCTCACATCGCAAAGCTGATTCTCACATACCTGTCTTTTAGTTTTAATCCTGAGATATTCCCTTTTTTGCCACTGGCCTCAATGAGCTCCCAAATGTCCATACACAGAATGTTAAAAAACAGATTTTCCAAGCTGCTGAATACAAGGAAAGGTTTAACTCTGTGAGATGAATGGACACATCACAAAGCAGATTCTCATGAAGCTTCTCTCCAGTTTTTATTAGAAGATGTTTCCTTTTCATCATAAGCCTCAATGTTCTCTGACATATCACTTTGCAGATTCTACAAAAACACTGCTTCTAAAGAGGTGAATGAAAAGAATATTTTAATTCTGTGAAATGCATGATCACATCTCAAAGCTGTTTCTCAGATAGCTGCCTTCTAGCTGTAATCCTGGGATATCCCCTTTTTTTCCATTTGCGTCAATGAGCTCCCAAATGTCCATTCATAGAATGGAGAAAAAGAGATTTTCTAAACTGCCGAATACAAGAAAGTTTTAACTCTGTGAGATGAATGGACACATGACAAGGCAGATTCTCAGAAAGCTTCTTTCCATCTTTTAACAGAAGTTTGTTTCCTTCCCACCATAGTACTCAAAGCTCTCAGAAATATCCCTTTGCAGATTTTGTAAAGACACTGCTTCCAAACAGCTGAATGAAAAGAATGGTTTAATACTGTGAAGTGAATGCTCCCATCACAAAGCAGTTTCTCAGATAGATTCCTTCTAGTTTTTAATCAGGGATGTTCGATTTTTGGCCTTTGGCCAGAAACAGCACCGAAATGTCCATTCACAAAATGGACAAACACTCCGCTTCCAAACTACTGAATCCAAAAAATGCTTGAAGTCTGTGAGGTGAATGCACACAACACAAAGCTGTTTCTCAGAAAGCTTCTTTCTCATTTTTAGCTGAAGATGTTGCTTTTTCACCACAGGCCTCAATGCTCTCCCAAATATCCCTTTGCAGATTCTGTAAAAACACGACTTCTGAACAGCTGAATGAAAAGAATGGTTTAACACTGTAAAATGAATGCTCCCATCACAAAGTGGTTTCTCAGATAGATTCCTTCTAGTTTTTATTCAGGGATATTCAATTTTTGGCCTTTGGCCCGAAACAGCACCAAAATGTCCATTCACAAAATGGACAAACACTCTTTTTCCTAACTACTGAATCCAAAAAAAGCTTGAAGTCTGTGAGATGAATGCACAAAACACAAAGCTATTTCTCAAAAAGCTTCTTTCTCGTTTTTAACTGAAGATGATGCTTTTTCACCCCAGGCCTTAATGTTCTCCCAAATATCCCTTTACAGATTCTGTAAAAACACTGCTTCCAAACAGCTGAGTGAAAAGAGTGGTTTAACTTTGTGAAATAAATTCTCACATCACAAAGTGGTTTCTCAGATCTGTTCCTTCTAGTTTTTATTCATGGATATTCACTTTTTTGCCATTGCCACCAAAGAGCTACAAAACTTCAATTCACAGGAAGGACAAAAACTGTGTTTCCAAACTACTGAATCCAAAGGAAGCTTGAATTCTGTGAGATGAATGTGCACATCACAAAGCAGTTTCTCAGAAAGCGTCTATCTCGTTTTTATCTGACGATGTTTCCTATTTCACCATAGGCCTCAATAATCTACAAAATAAGACTTTGCAGATTCCACAAAAAAAGTGATTTCCAACAGCTGAGTGAAAAGAAATGTTTAACTCTGGGAAATGTATGCTCACATCACAATGCAATTTCTCAGATATCTGCATTCTAGCTGTAATCCTGGGATATCCCCTTTTTTGCCACTGGCCTCAATGAGCTCCCAAACGTCCATTCTGTGAATGGACAAAAACAGATTTTCCAAACTGCTGAATACAAGGAAAGGTTTAACTCTGTGAGATGAATGGACACATCACTAGTCAGATTCTCAGAAAGCTTCTCTCCAGTTTTTAACAGAATAAGCTTCCATTTCACCATAGGCCTCAATGCTCTCTGAAATATACTTTTGCCGATACTACAAAAACACTGCTTCCAAACAGCTGAATGAAAAGAATGGTTTATCACTGTGAAATGAATGCTCACATGGCACAGCAGTTTCTCACATAGATTCCTTCTTGTTTTTTTTCAGGGATATTCCCATTTTTGCCATTGGCCCCAAAGAGCTCTGAAACATCCATTCCCAGAATGGACAAAAACTCTATTCCCAAACTACTGAATCCAAAGGAACTTTAACTGTGAGATGAATGCACACATCACAAAGCAGTTTCTCAGAAAACTTCTTTATCCTTTTTATCTGAAGGTGTTTCCTATTTCACCATAGGCTACAATACTCTCCGAAATAACCCTTTGCAGATCTTGTAAAACCAGTGATTTCTAACTGCTGAATGAAAAGAAAGGTTTAACTCTGAGAAATGAATGCTCACATTGCAAAACCGATTCTCACATCATCACATCTAGTTTTAATTCTGAGATATCCCCTTTTCTGCTCCTGGCCTCAATGAGTTCCCAAATGTCCATTCGCAGAATGGACAAATCAGATTTTCCAAACTGCTAAATACAAGGAAAGGTTTAATGCTATGAGATGAATGGACGCATCTCAAGACAGATTCTCAGAAAGCTTTTTTCCAGTTTTTAGTAGAAGATGTTTCCCTTTCACCGTATTCCTCAATGCTCTCTGAAATGTCCCTTTGCAGATTCTACAAAAACACTGCTTCTAAAGAGCTGAATGAAAAGAATGGTTTAACTCTTTGAAATGAATGTTCACATGACACAGCGGTTTCTCAGATAGATTCCTTCTAGTTTTTATTCAAGGATATTCTCTTTTTCGCCATTGGCCCCAAAGAGCTCCCAACTGTCCATTCCCAGAATGGACAAAAACTCCATTTCCAAACTACTGAATAAAAAAGTAGCTTTAACTTTGTGAGATGAATGAACACATCACAGAGCAGTTTCTCAGAAAGCTTCTTTGTCATTTTTATCTGAAGATGTTTCCTATTTCACCGTAGCCCTCGGTACTCTCTGAAATAAGCCTTTGCAGATTCTATAAAAACATTGATTTCTAACTGCTGAGTGAAAAGAAAGATTTAACTCTGTGAAATGCATGCTAACATCACAAAGCAGTTTCTCAGATAGCTGCCTTCTATCTGTAATCCTGGGTTATCCCCTTTTTGCCACTGGCCTCAATGAGCTCCCAGATGTCCATTTGCAGAATGCACAAAAACAGATTTTCCAAACTGTTGAATACAAGGAAAGGTTTAACTCTGTGAGATGAATGGACACATCACAAGGCAGATTCTCAGAAATCTTCCTTCCAGTTTTTAACAGAAGAAGATTCTTTTTCACCATAGACCTCAATGCTCTCCAAATTATCCCTTTGTAGTTTCTACAAAAAGACTGCTTCCAAACAGCTGAATGAAAAGAATGATATAACTCTGTGAAATGAATGCTCACATCACACAGCTGTTTCTCAGATAGATCCCATCTAGTTTTTATTCAAGGATCTTCTCTTTTTTGCCATTGGCCACAAAGAGCTCTGAATTATCCATTCAAAAAATGGACAAAAACTCTGTTTCCAAACTACTGATGCCAAAGAAAGCTTTAACCCTGCGAGTTGAATACCCACATCACAAAGCAGTTTCACAGAAAGTTTCTTTCTCATTTTTATCAGAAGATGTTTCCTATTTCACCATACACAAAAATACTCTCCGAAACAACCCTTTGCGCATTCTACAAAACCAGTGTTTTCTAACTGCTGAATGAAAAGGAAGGTTTAACTCTGTGAAATGAATGCTCACATCACAAAGCCGTTTCTCACATTCCTGCTTCTAATTTTAATTCTGAGATATACCCTTTTTTGCCACTGGTCTCAAAGAACTCCAAAATGTCCATTAGCAGAATGGACAAAAACAGATTTTCCAAACAGCTGAATCCAAAGAAAGCTTTACATCTGGGAGATGAATGAAGACACCACAAAGCAGTTTCTTGGGAAGCTTCTTTCTAGTTTTCAACTGAAGATATTTCCTTTTTCACCATAGACCACAATGCTCTCTGAAATATCCCTTTACAGATACTGTAAAAACACTCCTTCCAAACAGCTGAATGGAAAGAATGGTTTAACTCTGTGAAATGAATGCTCACTTCACAAAACAGTTTCTCAGATAGATTCCTTCCAGTTTTTATTCAGGGAAATTTGCTTTTTGGCCTTTGGCCAGAAAGAGCTCCAAAACGTCCATTCGCAGAAAGGACAAAAACACTGCTTCCAAACTACTGAATCCAAAAAAAGCTTGAAGTCTGTGAGATGAATGGACACATCAAAAGGCAGTTTCTCAGAAAGCTTCTTTCTCGTTTTTAACGGAAAATGTTTCCTTTTTCACCACAGGACTCAATGCTCTACTAAATATCACTTTGCAGGTATTGTAAAAGTGCTGCTTCCAAAGAGCTGAATGAAAAGAATGGTTTAACTTTGTGAAATGAATGCTCACATCACAAAGCAGTTTCTCAGATCTGTTCCTTCTGGTTTTTATTCAGGGGTATTTGCTTTTTCACTATTAGCCCCAAAGAGCTCTGAAACGTCCATTCGCAGAATGGAAAAAACCGTGTTTCCAAACTACTGAATTCAAAGAAAGCTTGAAGTCTGTGAGATGAAAGCACACATCACAAAGCAGTTTGTCAGAAAGCTTCTTTCACATTTTCATGTGAAGTTGTTTCCTATTTCACCATAGGCATCAATAATCTCCGATGTAAGCCATTGCAGATTCTACAAAGGCACTGATTTCTAACTGCTGAATGAAAAGAAAGGTTTAACTCTGTGAAATATATGCTCACATTGTAAAGTGGTTTCTCAGATACCTGCCTTCTGGCTGTAATCCTGTGACATCCCTTTTTTTGCCACTGGCCTCAATGAGCTCCCAAATGTCCATTTTCAGAAAGGACAAAAACAGATTTTCCAAACTGCTGAATACAAGGAAAGTTTTAACTCTGTGAGATTAAGGGTCACATCACAAAGGAGATTCTCAGAAAGGTTTTTTCCAGTTTTTAAAAGAAGATGATTCCTTTTCACCATTGGCCTCAATGCTCTCCAAAATATCCCTTTGCAGATTATGTAAAAACACTGCTTCTAAAGAGCTGAATGAAAATGTTGGTTTGACTCTGTGAATTGACACAACAGTTTCTCAGATAGACTCCTTCTATTTTCTATTCGGGATATTTTATTTTTCGCCATTGGCCCCAAAGAGCTCCGAAATGTCCATTTTCAGGATGGACAAAAACTCTTTTTCCAAACTACTGAATCCAAAGAAAGCTTGAATACTCTGAGATGAATGCATGCATCACAAAGCTGTTTCTCAGAAAGCTTCTTTCTCGTTTTAATCTGAAGATGTTTCCTATTTCAACATAGGCCTCAATACTCTCTGAAATAAGCCTTTGCAGATTCTACGAAAACGTGATTTCTAACTGCTGAATGAAAAGTAAGGTTTAAATCTGTGACACGCATGCTCACATCACAACGCGGTTTCTGTGATAGCTGCCTTCTAGCTGTAATCCTGGGATATCCCCTTTTTTGTCACTGGCCTCAATCAGCTCCCAAATGTCCATTCACAGAATGGAAAAAAAACAGATTTTCCAAACTGCTGAATACAAGGAGAGTTTTAACTCTGTGTGATGAAAGGACACATCACAAGGCAGATTCTCAGAAACCTTCTTTCCAGTTTTTAACAGTTGTTTTCTTTTCACCATTGACCTCAATGCTCTCTGAAATATCTGTTTGCAGATTCTACAAAAGCATTGCTTCATAGCAGCTGAATGAAAAGAATGCTTAAACTCTGAAATGAATTCCCACATGACACAGCAATTTCTCAGATAGATTCCTTCTAGTTGATTTTCAGGGATATTTTCTCTTTAGCCATTGGCCACAAAGAGCTCCGAAAGATCCATTCCCAGAAAGAACAAAAACTCTGTTTCCAAACTAGTGAATCTAAAGAAAGCTTTAACTCTGTGAGATGAATGCACACCTCTCAAAGCAATTTCTCAGAAAGCTTCTTTATCACTATTTCCTGAAGGTGTTCCCTGTTTCACCATAGACCACAATACTCTTGGAAATAAGCCTTTGCAGATTCTACAAAACCAGTGATTTCTAACTGTTGAATGAAACGAAAAGTTTAAATCTGTGAAGTACATGGTCACATCACAAAGCAGTTTCTCATATAGCTGCCTTCTAGTTTTAAACCTGGGCTATCCTTTTTTCTGCCATTGGCCTCAATGAGTTCCTGAATGTCCATTCACAGAATGGACAAAAACAAATTTTCCAAAGTTCTGAATCCAAAGAAATATTTAACTCTGTGAGATGAATGGATACATCACAAGGCAGATTCTCAGAGAGCTTCTTTCTAGTTTTTAACTGAAGATGTTTGTTTTTCACCATAACCCTCAGTACTCTCTGAAATATCCCTTTGCAGATTCTGTAAAAACACTGCTTCGAAACAGCTGAATGAAAAGAATTGTGGGACTCTGTGAAATGAATGCTCACATGACCCAGTGGTTTCTCAGATAGATTCCTTCTAGTTTTTATTCAGGGATATTTGCTTTTTCGCCACTGGCCCCAAAAAGCTCTGAAATGTCCATTTGCAGAATGGAAAAAAACTGTGCTTCCAAACTACTGAATCCAAAGAATGCTTTAACACTGTGGGAGGAATGCAAACATCACAAAGCAATTTCTCAGAAAGCTTCTTTCTAGTTTTCCTCTGAAAATATTTCCTTTTTTACCACAGGCCTCAATGCTCTCTGAAATATCCCTTTGCAGGTTCTACAAAAACACTGCTTCCAGCTTGCTGAATGAAAAGAATGATTTAACTATGTGAGATGAATGAACATATCACAAAGCAGTTCCTCAGATATGTTCCTTCTAGTTTTTAATCTTGGGATATTCTTATTTCACAGTGGGTCTCAAAGTGCCCCCAAATGTCCATTTGCTGAGTTGACAAACACTGTGTTTCAAAGCTGCTGAATCCAAAGAAACGTTTACATCTGTGAGATGAATGCACAAATCACAAATCAGTTTCTCAGAAAGCTTCCTTCTAGTTTTCATCTGAAAAATTTTCCTATTTCACCATAGGCCTCAAAGCTCTCTGAAGCATCACTTTGCAGATTCCAGGAAAACAGTTGTTCCAAACTGCTTAGTGGAAAGGAAAGTTTAACTCTCTGAGATGAATGCACACATCACAAAGCGGTTGCTAAGATAGCTGCCTAGTAGTTCTTATCCTGGGTTATTCCCATTTTTGCCTTTGGCCTCAAAGAGCCCCAAATTGTTCTTTTGCTGAGTGGAATAAAACAGTGTTGCAAAACTGCTGAATCCAAAGAATGGTTTAACTATATGAGATGAATACACACAGCATAAAGCAGTTTCTCAGAAACCTTCCTCCATATTTTTATCTGAAGATATTTCCTATTTCACCATTGCCCTCAATACTCTCCGAAAGAAACTTTTGCAGATTCTACATAAACAGAGATTTCTTAGTGGTGAATGAAAAGAAAGATTTAACTCTGTGAAATGCATGCTCACATCACAAAGTGGTTTCTCAGATAACTGCCTTCTAATTTTAATAGTGGGACATGCTCTTTTTTTACATTGGCCTCAATGATCTCCCATATGTCCATTCACAGAATGGACTAAAACATTTTCCAAACTGCTGAATCCAAAGAAAGTTTTAACTCTGTGATATGAATGGACACATCACAAGGCAGATTCTCAGAAAGCTTCTTTCTAGTTTTTAACTGAAGATGTTTCATTTTTCACCATAACCCTCAATGCTCTCTGAAATAGCCCTTTGCAGATTCTACAAAAACACTGCTTCCAAACAACTGAATGGAAAGAATGGTTTAACTCTGTGAAATGAATTCTCAGATGACACAGCGGTTTCTCAGGTAGATTCCTCCCAGTTTTTATTCAGGGATATTCTCTTTTTCGCCATTGACCCCAAAGAGCTTCAAAATGTCCATTCGCAGAATGGACAAAAACTGTGTTTCCAAACTACTGAATCCAAAGAAAGCTTTAACTCTGTAAGATGAATGCACACATCATGAAGCAGTTTCTCAGAAAGATTCTTTCTCGTTTTTACCTTAAGATGTTTCCTATTTCACCATAGGCCAAAATACTCTCTGAAATAACCCTTTGTCGATTCTACAAAAACAGTGATTTCTAACTGCTGAATGAAAACAAAGGTTTAACTCTGTGAAATGAATGCTCACATCACAAAGCCCTTTCTCAGATAGCTGCATTCTAGTTTTAATCCTGGGATATCCCCTTTTTTTGTCTTTGGCCTCAATGAGTGTCCAAATCTCCACTTGCAGAAAGGACAAAAACAGATTTTGCCAACTGCTGTATCCAAAGAAAGGTTTAAGTCTGTGTTGAATGCACACATCACAAAGGAGTTTCTAAGACAGCTTCTTTCTAGTTTTTAACTGAAGATGTTTCCTTTTTTACCATAGGCCTAAATGCTCTCCGAAATATCCCTTTGCAGATTATGTAAAAACACTGCTTCCAAACAGCTGAATGAAAAGAATGCTTTAACTCTGTGAAATGAATGCTCACATGACACAGCAGTGTCTCAGACGTATTCCTTCTAGTTTTTATCCTGGGATATTTGCTTTTTTGCCTTTGACCCCAAAGATATCTGAAATGACCATTCACAGAATGGACAAAACTGTGTTTCCAAACTACTGAATCCAAAGGATGCTTTAACTCTTTGAGATGAATGCACACATCACAAAGCAGTTTCTCAGAAAGATTCTTTCTAGATTTGCTCTGAAGGTGATTCCTTTTTTGAAATAGGCCTCAATGCTCTCCAAAATATCCCTTTGCACATACTACAAAAAAAAAGTTTCCTAATTGTTGAATGAAAAGAATGATTCAACTCTGTGAGATGAGTGAAAATATCACGGAGATGTTTCTCAGATGTCTCCCTTCTGGTTTTTATCCTGGGATATTCCCATTCTCACAGTTGGTCTCAAAGCGCCCCCAAATGTCCATTAGCTGAGTTGGCAAACACTGTGTTTCAACGCTGCTGAATCCAAAGAAATGTTTATCTCTGTGAGATGAATGTACAAATCACAAATCAGTTTCTCAGAAAGTTTCCTTCTAGTTTTTAATCTGAAGATGTTTCTTATTTCACCTTAGGCCTCACTGCTCTCCGAACTAACCCTTTCCAGATTCAATGAAAACAGTGTTTCCAAACTGCTGAATGAAAAGGAAGGCTAAAATCTGTGAGATGAATGCACACGTGACAAAGGAGTTTCTAAGATAGCTGCCTTCTAGTTTTCATCCTGGGTCATTCCCAGTTTTTCCAATGGCCTCAAAGAGCACCCAAATGTCCTTTTGCCGAGTGGACAAAAACAGTGTGACAAAATTGCTGAATCCAAAGAAAGGTTTAACTATTTGAGATGAATGCACACACCAAAAAGCAGTTTCTCAGAAAGTTTCTTTCTCGTTTTTATATGAAGGTGTTTCCTATTTCACAGGCCTCAATGCACTCCAAAATAACTCTTTGCAGCTTCTGCAAAACCAGTGTTTCCTAACTACTGAATGAAAAGAAAGGTTTAACTCTGTGAAATAAATGTTCACATCACAAAGCTGTTTCTCAGATAGCTGCCTTCTAGTTTTAATCATGGGATATCCCCTTTTTTGCCATTGGCCTCTATGAGCTCCCAAATGTCCATTCGCAGAATGGAGAAAAACAGATTTTCCAAACAGCTGAATCCAAGAATGCTTTAAATCTGTGAGATGAATGCACACATCAGAAAGCATTTTCTCAGAAAGCTTCTTTCTAGTTTTTCACTGAAGTTGTTTCCTTTTTCACCATAGGCCTCAATGCTCTCCGTAATATCCCTTGGTAGATTTTGTAAAAACAATACTTCCAAACAGCTGAATGAAAAGAATGGTTTAACTGTGAAATGAATGCTCACATCACAAAGTGGTTTCTCAGAGAGATTCCTTCTAGTTTTCATTCAGGGGTATTTGCTTTTTCACCATTGGCCCCAAAGAGCTCCGAAATATCCATTCACAGAAAGGACAAAAACACTTTTTCCAAACTACTAAATTCAAAGAAAGCTTTAAGTCTGTGAAATGAATGCACACATCACAAAGCAGTTTCCCAGAAAGATTCTTTCTAGTTTTTAACTGAAGATGTTTCCTTTTTCACCATAGACCTCAATGCACACAGAAATATCACTTTGCAGATTCTGTGAAAATATTGTTTCCAGACAGCTGAATGAAAAGACTGGTTTAACACTGTGAAATGAATGCTCACATCACAAAGTGGTTTCTCAGAGAGATTCCTTCTAGTTTTTCTTCAGGGATATTAGCATTTTCACCATTGGCCCCAAAGAGCTCTGAAATGTCCACTCGCAGAACAGACAAAAACTGTGTTTCCAAACTACTGAATCCAAAGAAGGGTTTCACTCTGTGAGATGAATGCACCCACCACAAAGCAGTTTCTCAGAGAGAATATTTCTCGTTTTTGTCTGAAGATGTTTATTTCATCATAGGCCAAAGTACTCTCCAAAATAAACCTTTGCAGATTCTACAAAACCAGTGATTTCTAACTGCTGAATGAAAAAGAAGGTTTAACTCTGTGAAATGAATGCTCACATCTCAAAGCCATTTCTCAGATAGCTGCCTTCTAGTTTTCATCTTGGGATATCCCCTTTTTTGTCTTTGGCCTCCAAGAGCTCCCAAAGTTCCATTCACAGAATGGACAAAAACAGATTTTACAAACTGCTGACTCCAAATAAAGTTTTATCTCTGTGAGACGAATGGACACATCACAAGGCAGATTCCCAGAAAGCTCCTTTCCAGTTTTTAACTGAAGAAGTTTCCTTTTTCACCATAGGCCGGAATGCTCCCCAAAATATCCGTTTGCAGATTCTACAAAAACCCTGCTTCCAAACAGCTGAGTGAAAACCATGGCTTAACTGTGAAATGAATGCTCACATCACAAATTGGTTTATCAGATATATTCTTTCTGGCTTTTCTTCAGTGATATTTGCTTTATCATCTTCGGCCCCAAAGAGCTCCGAAATCTCCATTCGCAGAATGGACAAAAACTCTTTTTCCAAACTAGTAAATCCAATTAAAACTTTATCTCTGTGAGATGAATGCACACATCACAAAGCAGTGTCTCGGAATGCTTGTTTCTCATTTTAATCTGAAGATGTTTCCTCTTTCACCATAGGTCTGAATACTCTGCGAAATATCCCTTTGCAGATTCTACAAAACCAGTGATTTCTAAGTGCTGAATGAAAAGAAAGGTTTAGCTCTGAAATGCATGCCCACATCACAAAGTGGTTTCTCAGATAGCTGCCTTCTAGTTTTAATCCTGGGACATCCCCTTTTTTGCCATAGGCCTCAATGAGCTCCAAAATGTCCATTCGCATAAGGGACAAAAACAGATTTCCCACACTGCTGAATCCAAAGAAAGATTTAACTGTGTGAGACAAATGGACACAACACAAGGCAGATTCTCAGAAAGCTTCTTTCTAGTTTTTAACTGAAGATGGTTCCTTTTTCACTGTAGGCCTCAATGCTCTCCAAAATATCCCTTTGCAGATTCTACAAAAGCACTCCTTCCAAACAGCTGAATGAAAACAATGTTTACACACTGTGAGATGAATGCTCACATCACAAAGAGGTTTCTCAGATAGATACTTTCTAGTTTTTATTCAGAGATATTTGCTTTTTCCCCATTGGCCCCATGGAGCTGCAAAATGTCCATTCGCAGAATGGACAAAAACTATGTTTCAAAACTACTGTACCCAAAGAAATCTTTATGTATGTGAGCTGAATGCATGCATCAAAAAGAAGTTTCTCAGAAAGCTTCTTTCTAGATTTTCTCTGAAGATGTTTCCTATTTTTACCATAGGCCTCAATGCTCTAAGAAATATCCCTTTGCAGATTCTACAGAAACGGTGTTTCCAAACTGATGAAGGAAAAAAATGATTTAACTCTGTGAGATGAATTTACGTATCACAGAGCTGTTTCTCAGATATCTTCCTTCTAGTTTTTATCCTGGGATATTCCCATTTTCACAGTTGGTCTCCAAGTGCCCCCAAATATCCATTCACTGAGTTGACAATTACCGTGTTTCAAAGCTGCTGAATCCAAAGAAAAGTTTAACTCTGTCAGATGAATGCACATATCACTAAGCACTTTCTCAGAAAGTTTCTTTCTCAGTTTTATCTGAAGATGTTTCCTATTTCAACTTAGGCCTCAGTATTCTCCAAAATAACCCTTTGATGATTCTACAAAAACAGTGACTTCTAACTGCTCAATGAAAGGAAAGGTTTAACTCTGCGAAAAGAATTCTCACATCACAAAGCTGTTTCTCAGATAGCTGCCTTCTAGTTTTAATCCTGGGATATCATCTTTTCTGTCTTGGCCTCAATGAGCTCCCAAATGTCCATTCACAGAATGGACAAAAACAGATTTTCCAAACTGCTGAGTCCAAAGAAAGCTTTAACTCTGTATAATGAATGCACACATCACAAGGCAGTTTCTCAGAAATGTTCTTTCTAGCTTATAACTGAAGATGTTTCCTTTTTCACCATAGTCCTCAATGCTCTCCAAAGTATCCCTTTGCAGATTCTACAAAGACGGTGTTTTCAAACTGCTGAATGAAAAGAAAGTTTTAACTCTGTAAGCTGAATGTGCACATCACAAGGCTATTTCTAAGATAGCTGCTTTCTAGTTTTTATTCTGGGTTAATCCTGTTTTCACCATTTGCCTCAATAAGCCCCCGAATGTCCTTTTGCTGAGGGGAAAAAAACAGTGTTGCAAAACTGCTGAATCCAAAGAAAAGTTTAACTCTGTGAGATGATGCACACATCACAAGGAAGGTTCTCAGAAAGCTCGTTTCTCGTTTTTATCTGAAGATGTTTCCTATTTCACCATATGCCTCAATACTCTCTGAAATATGCCTTTGCAGATTCTACAAAACAGTGATTTGTAACTGCTGAATGAAAAGAAAAGTTTAACTCTGTGAAATGAGTACTCACATCACAAAGGGTTTTCTCAGATAGCTGCGTTCTAGTGGTAATCCTGGGATATTCCCTTTTGGCCATTGGCCTCAATGATCTTCCAAATGTCCATTCGCTGAATGGACAAAAACAGATTTTCCATACTGTTGAATCAAAAGAAAGCTTTAAGTCTGTGAGCTGAATGTGCACACCACAAGGCTGTTTCTCAAAAAGCTTCTTTCCAGTTTTTCTCTGAAGATGTTTCCTTTTTCACCATAGGCGTCAATGCTCCCCAAAATGTCCCTTTGCAGACTTTTCAAAAACACTGTTTCCAAACAGCTGAATGAAAAGAATGGTTTAACTCTGTGAAATGAATGCTCACATCAGAAAGTGGTTTCTCAGATAGATTTCTTCTAATTTTTTTCAGGGATATTCACTTTTTTGCCATTGGCCCCAAAGAGCTCCAACCTGTCCTATCACAGAATGGACAAAAACTGTGTTTCCAAACTACTGAATCCAAAGAAAGCTTGAAGTCTGTGAGATAAATGCACACATCCCAAAGCAGTTTCTCAGAAAGCTTCTTTCTTGTTTTTCTCTAAACACATTTCCTTTTTTACCATAGACCTCAAGGCTGTCTGTATCATCCCTTTGAAGATTCTATGAAAACAGTGTTTCCTAATTGCTGAATGAAAAGAATGATTTAACACAGTGAGATGAATGAACATATCACAAACCAGTTTCTCAGGTATCTTCCTTCTAGTTTTTATTCTGTGATATTCCCATTTTCACCATTGGACTTAAAGTGTCCCCAAAAGTCCTTTCACTGAGTTAACAAACACCGTGTTTCATAACTGATGAATCCAAAGAAAGTCTTACCTCTATGAGTTGAATGTACACATCACAAAGCAATTTCTCATAAAGTTTCTTTCTAGTTTTTCTGTGAATATATTTCCTATTTCACCATAGGCCTCAATGGTCTCCGAAGTATCCCTTTGGTGATTCTACAAAAATAGTGTTTCCAAACTGCTGAATAAGACGTAAGGTTTAACTCTGTGAGATGAATTCACACATCACAAAGCGGTTTCTCTGATAGCTGCCTTCAAGTTTTTATCCTTGGTTATTCCCATTTTTGCCTTTGGCCCCAAAGAGCCCCCAAATGTCCATTCACTGAGTGGACAAAAAAAGTGTTTCAAGGCAGATGAATCCAAAGAAAGGTTCAGCTCTTTGAGATGAATGCAGACGTCACAAAGCAGTTTCTCAGAAATCTTCTTTCTCTTTTTCATCTGAAGATTTTCCCTATTTCACCATAAGGCTCAATTCTCCTAGAAATAACTCTTTGCAGATTCTACAAAAACAGTGTTTCCAAACTGCTGAATGAAAAGGAAAGTTTAACTCTGTGAAATGAATGCTCACATCACACAGCGGTTCCTCAGATAGCTTTCTTCTAGTTTTAATCCTGGGATATTCCCTTTTTTGCCATTGGCCTCAATGAGCTCCCAAATGTCTGTTTGCAGTATGGACAAAAACAGATTTTCCAAACTGCTGAATCCAAAGACAGGTTTACATCTGTGAGATGTCTGCACACATCTCAAGGCAGTTTCTCAAAAAGCTTCTTTCTAGTTTTTATCTGAAGATGTTTGCTTTTTCACCATAGACATCAATGCTCTTCTAAATATCCCATTGAAGATTCTACAAAAACACAATTTCCAAACTGCTGTATGAAAAGAAAGTTTAACTCTGTGAGATGAATTTACGCATCACATAGCACTTTATCAGTTAGCTTCATCTAGTTTTATCCTTGGATATCTGCTATTTGTCCTTGGCCTTAATGAACTGCCAAATATACATTCACAGAGTGAAAAAAAACACTCTTTCCAAACTACTGAATCCAAAGTAAAGTTCAACTCAGTGAGATGAATTCACACATCACAAAGCAGTTTCACAGAAAGCTTCTATCTAGTTTTTAACTGAAGATGTTCCCTTCTTTACCATAGGCAATAATGGTCCCTGAATTATCCCTTTACAGATTCTACAAAAACAATGTTTCAAAACTGCTGAATGGAAGGAAACGTTTAACTCTGTGAGATGAATGCAAACATCACAAAGCTGTTCCTCAGATAGCTTCCTCCTAGTTTTTATCCTGGTGTATTCAATTTTTCACCCTTCTCCTGAAAGAGCTCTGAAAAGTCCATTCATAGAATGGACAAAATCAGTGTTTCCAAACTACTGAATCCAAAGAAAGGTTTAAGTCTATGAGATGAATGTACACATTACACACCAGTTTCTCAGAAAGCATCTTTCTAGTTTTTATCTGAATATGTTGCCTTTTTCAACATAGGCCACAAAGCTCTCTGAAATATCCCTTTGCAGATTCTGCTAAAACAGTTTTTCCAAACTGCTGAAAGAAAAGAAATGTTTAAATCTGTGAGATGAATGCACACATCACAAAGCGGTTTCTTAGATAGCTTTCTTCTAGTTTTTATCGTGGTATATTTGATTTTTCGCACTTGGCCTGAAAGAGCTCCCAAAAGTTCATTCATAGAATGCACAAAAACAGTGTTTGCAAACGAATGAATCCAAAGAAAGGTTTAAGTCTGTCAGAAGAATGCACACATCACAATGCAGTTTCTCAGAAAGCTTCTCTCTGGTTTTTATCTGAAGATGTTTCCTTTTTCACCATAGGCCTCAATGGTCTCCGAAATATCACTTTAAAGTTTCTATAAAAACACTCTTTCTAACTGGTGAATCCAAAGAAAGGTTTAACTATGTGAGATGAATGCACACATCACAAAGCAGTTTCTCAGAAAGCTTATATCTAGTTTTTTTCTAAAGTTGTTTCTTTTTTTCTATAGCCCTCAAAGCTCTCAGAAACATGCTACTGCAGATTCTACAAAAACAGTGTTTTCAAACTTTTAAATCAAAAAATATTTTAACCCTGTGTAATGAAAGTACACGTCAGAAAGCAGTTTCTCAGAAAGCTCCTTTCTAGTTTTTATCTGAAGATATTTTGTTTTTCACAATAGACTTCAAGGGGCTCCCAAATATCCCTTCACAGATTCTACAAAAACAGGTTTTGCAAACTGCTGAATGAAGTCAGGTTTAAATCTGCAAGATGAATGCACGAATCACAAAGTGCTCTCTCAGATTGCTTCCTTCTGGTTTTTATCCTGGGATATTCTCTTTTTCCATTGACCTCAATGAGCTCCCAAATGTTCATTTGGACAAATGCAGGATTTCCAAACTGCTGAATCAAAAGAAAGGTTTAACTCTTTGAGATGAATACACACACAATAAAGCAGTTTCTCAGAAAGCTTCTTTCTCGTTTTTATCTGAAGATATTTTCTTTTCCACCGTAGGCATCAATGTGCTCCCTAATGTCCCTTCAGATACTACAAAACAGTGTTTCAAACTCCTGAATCAGAAGAAAATTTAACTCTGTGAGATGACTGCAAATCACAAAGCAATTTCTCTGGTAGCTTCTTATAGTTTTTATCCTGGGATATTCACTTTTTTGCCACTGGCCTCAGGATCTCCCAAATGTGCATTCCCATAATGGACAAAAAGAGTTTTTCCAAACTGCTAAATCCAAAGAAAAGTTGAAATCTGAGAGATGATTGCACACATGACTAAGTGGTTTTTCAGAAAGCATCTTTCTAGTTTTTATTTGAAGATATTTCCTTCTTCACCATAGGCCTCAATGCGATCCCAAATATCCCTTTGCAGATTCTACAAAACAGGGTTTCCAAACTTCTGAATCCAAAGAAAGGTATAAATCTGTGAGATGAATGCACATATCACAAAGCAGTTACTCAGGAAGTATATTTCCAATTTTTATCAGAAGTTTTTTTTTTCACCACAGGCCTCAATGCACTCCCTTATATCCCTTCACATATTCTACAAAAAGAGTGTTTCCAACTGCTGAATGAAAAGAAATGTTTATCTCTGTGAGATGAATGTACACATCACAAGCGGTCTCTCAGATAGCTGCCTCCTAGTTTTTATCCTGGGATATTCACTTTTTTGCCATTGGCCTTTCTGAGCTCCCAAATGTCTATTTGCATAAGGACAAAAAGAGTGTTTCCAAACTGCTGAATCCTAAGACGTTTTAATTCTGTGAGATGAATGCACACATCACATAGCAGTTTCTAAGATAGCTTACTTATAGATTTTATCTTGGGATATTTCCTTCTTTGCTATTGGCCTCAAAGATCTCTCTAATGTCCATTACTACTACGAAAAACTGTGTTTCCAAATTGCTGAATCCAAAAAAGGTTGCAATCGGTGAGATGAATGCACACAACACAAAGTAGTGTCTCAGAAAGCTTCTTCCTAGTTTTTATTTGAAGATATTTCCTTTTTCACCATTGACCTCAATGTGATCCCAATTTTCCAGTCACAGAATGGATAAAAACAGTGTTTCCACACTGCTGAATCCAAACCAAAGTTTTACTCTGTGAGATTAATGCACACATCGAAAAGAAGTTTATCAGAAGCTTCTTTCTAGTTTTTACCTACAACGTATCTTTTTTCACAACAGGCCTCAGTGTGCTTCCAAATACCCTTTTGAAGATTCTACAAAAACAGTTTTTCCAAACTGCTGAATGAAAAAAAGGTTTAACTATGCTAGATGAATGCACACATCACAAAGCGGTTTCTCAGAAAGCTTCTTCATAGTTTTTAATCTGAATATATTTCCTTTTTCACCATAGGAATTATGGTGCACCAAAATATCCCTTCGAAATTACTTTAAAAATAGTGTTTCCAAACCCTAGAATGAAAAAAAAATGTTTAACTCTGTGTGATGAATACACACATCACAAAGCAGTTTCTAAGATATCTTCCTTCCAGTTTTTACCTGGGATATGCACTTTTTCACCATTGGCCCCAATCACCTCCCAAATGTCCATTTGCAGAATGGACAAAAAAAGTGTTAACAAACCGATGAATCAAAAGAAAGGCTTATGTCTGTGAGATGAATGCAGAAATCACGAAGTATTTCCTAAGGAAGCTTCTTTCTATTTTTTATCTGAGGATATTTCCTTTTTCACCCTAGGACTCAATGCGCTCTTAAGTATGCCTTCACAGATTCTACAATAACAGTGTTTCCAAACTGCTGAATGAGAAGAAAGGTTTAACTCTGCGAGATGAATGCACACATCACGAAGCAGCTTCTGAGATTCCTTCCTTCTTGTTTTTATCCTGGGATATTCCCTTTTCCACATTTGGCCCCAATCAGCTCCCAAATGTCCATTCAAAGAATGGACAAAAACTGTTTTTCCAAACTGCAGAATCCAAAGAAAGGTTTAACTATGTGAGATGAATGCACACATCACAAAGCAGTTTCTCACAAAGCTCCTTTCTAGTTTTTATCTGAAGTTATTTCCTTTTTAACCATAGACCTCAATGCACTCCCAAATAACTCTTTGCAGATTCTACAAAAACACTGATTGCAAACTGATGAATGAAAAGTAAAGCTTAACTTTGTGGGATGAATGCACAAATCACAAAGAGGTTTCTCAGATAGCTTCCTTCTAGTTTTTATCCTGGGATATTTGCTCTTTTGCCATTGGCCTCAATGCACTCCCAAATGTCCATTCCCAGAATGGACAAAAACAGTGTTTCCATACTGCTGAATCAAAAGAAAGGTTTCACTCTGAGAGCTGAATGCACATGTTACATGGCAGTTTCTTAGAAAGCTTCTTTCTAGTTTTCATCTGAAGATACTTTATTATTAGCCATAGGCCTCAATGCGTTCCCAAGCATCCCTTTGCAGATTCTACAAAAACGGTGTTTCCAAACTGCTGAATGAAAAGAAAGGCTTAACTCTGTGAGATGAATGAACACTTCACAATGCAGTTTCTCAGAGAGATTCCTTATAGGTTTTAATCCTGGGATATTCGCTTTTCCGCCTTTGGCCTCAATGAGCTCCCACAGGCCCACTGGCAAAATGGACAAAAGCAGTGTTTACAAATTGCTGAATGAAATTAAAGGTTTAGTTCTGTGAGATTAATGCACAAATCACAAAATGGTTTCTCAGATAGCTTGCTTCTACTGTTTATAATGGGATATACGCTTATTTGCCTTGGCCTCAAAGAGCTCCCAAATTTCCATTCTCAGAATGGACAAAACAGTGTTTCCAAGTTCCTGAATCAAAAGAAAGTTTTAATTCTGTGAGGTGAAGGCACACATCATGAAGCAGTTTCTCAGAAAATGCAAATATCCCAGGATAAAAACCAGAAATAAGCTATGTGTGAAACTCCTTTCTGATGTGTGCATTGAACTCACAGAGTTAAACCTTTCTTTTGATTCGGCAATTTGGAAACACTGTTTTTTATTTTTCATTCAGTGAAAGGACATTTGGGATCTCATGGAGGCCAATGGCAAAAATCGAATTTACCAAGTTAAAAACTAGTAGGAAGCTATCTGAGAAACCTCTTTGTGATGTGTGCATTCACCTTGCATAGTTAAACTTTCCTTTTGATTCAGCAGTTTGGAAACACTATATTTTTCCATTCTACACATGGACTTTTGGGAGGGCATTGAGGCTAAATGCAAAAAGTGAATATAAAGGATAAAAAAGAAGGAAGCTATCTGAGAAACTGATTTGTGATGCGTGCCTTCATGTCACAGAGTGAAAACTGTCTTTTCATTCAGAAGTTTTGAAATACTGTTTTTGTCCATTCTACGAATGGACATTTAGGAGCTTATTAAAGCCAATGGCAAAAAAGCAAATATTCCAGGATAAAAACTAGAAGAAAGCAAAAAGAGAAACCACTTTGTCATGTGGGCATTCGTCTCATAGAGTTAAACCTTTCTTTTCACTCAGCAATTTGGAAACACTTTTTTTGTAGAAGCTGAAAAGAGATATTTGGGAGCGCATTGAGGCCTATGGAGAAAAAGTGAATATACCAAGATAAAAAAGAAGGAAACTACCTGAGAAACCACTTTGTGAGGTGTGTATTAATCTCACAGAGTTAAAGCTTTCCTTTCATTCAGCATTTTGGAAACACTGTCTTTTGTAGAATCTGTGAAGAGATATTTAGTAGCGCATTGAGGCCTATGGTGAAAAATAAAATGTCTTCAGGTGAAAACTAGAAAGAATCTTTCTGAGAAACTCCTTCAGAAGTGTGCATTCATCTCACATAGTTAAACTTTTCTTTTGATTCAGTAGTTTGCAAACACAGTTTGAAAAACACTTGGGAGCTCCTTGAGGCCAGTGGCGAAAAAGTGTATATCCCAGGATAAAAACTAGAAGAAATATATCTGAGAAACTGCTTGGTGATGTGAGCATTCATCTTGAAGAAATAAACCTTTCTTAGAAACTGCTTTGCAATTAGTGCATTCATCTCAAAGAGTGAAAATTTTCTCTCATTCAGCAGTTTGGAAACACTGTCTTTGTAAAATCTGTGAAGGGATATTTGGGAGTGGAAGAATGCCTATGCTTAAAAAGGAAACTATTCAGATAAAACCTTGAAAGAATTTTTCTGAGACACTGCTTTGTGATGTGTGCATTCATCTCACAGACTTAAACTTTTCTTTTCATTCAGCAGTTTGGAAACACTGTTTTTTTGTGTGGTTTTTTTTTTGCCTTTGTCTTTTTTTAAATTATTATACTTTAAGTTTTAGGGTACATGTGCCCATTGTGCAGGTTAGTTACATATGTATACATGTGCCATGCTGTTGCGCTGCACCCACTAACTCATCATCTAGCATTAGGTATATCTCCCAATGCTATCCCTCCCCCCTCCCCACATCCCACAACAGTCCCCAGAGTGTGATATTCCCCGTCCTGTGTCCATGTGATCTCATTATTCAGTTCCCACCTATGAGTGAGAATACGCACTGTTTGGTTTTTTGTTCTTGTGATAGTTTACTGAGAATGATGATTTCCAATTTCATCCATGTCCCTACAAAGGACATGAACTCATCATTTTTTATGGCTGCATAGTATTCCATGGTGTATATGTGCCACATTTTCTTCATCCAGTCTATCATTGTTGGACATTTGGGTTGGTTCCAAGTCTTTGCTATCATGAATAATGCCGCAATAAACTTACGTGTGCATGTGTCTTTATAGCAGCATGATTTATAGTCCTTTGGGTATATACCCAGTAATGGGATGGCTGGGTCAAATGATATTTCCAGTTCTAGATCCCTGAGGAATCACCACACTGACTTCCACAATGGTCGAACTAGTTTACAGTCCCACCAACAGTGTAAAAGTGTTCCTATTTCTCCACATCCTCTCCAGCACCTGTTGTTCCTGATTTTTTAATGATTGCCATTCTAACTGGTGTGAGATGGTATCTCATTGTGGTTTTGATTTGCATTTCTCTGATGGCCAGTGATGATGAGCATTTTTTCGAGTGTTTTTTGGCTGCATAAATGTCTTCTTTTGAGAAGTGTCTGTTCATGTCCTTCACCCACTTTTTGATGGGGTTGTTTGTTTTTTTCTTGTAAATTTGTTTGAGTTCATTGTAGATTCTAGATATTAGCACTTTGTCAGATGAGTAGGTTGCAAAAATTTTCTCCCATTTTGTAGGTTGCCTGTTCACTCATGGTAGTTTCTTTTGCTGTGCAGAAGCTCTTTAGTTTAATTAGATCCCATTTGTCAATTTTGGCTTTTGTTGCCATTGCTTTTGGTGTTTTAGACATGAAGTCCTTGCCCATGCCTATGTCCTGCACTGTTTTTAGCGAATGTGTGAAGGGATATTTGGGAGTGCATTGACACTTATGGTGAAAACGGAAACATTTTAAGTTAAAAACTGGAAAGAAACATTCTCAGAAACTGCTTTGTGATGTGTGCATTCATCTCATAGAATTAAAACTTTCTTTTGATTCAGCAGTTTGGAAACACCAGTTTTGTCCATTCTAAATTGGACATTTTTTAGCTCTTTGAGTCCAATGCAAAAAAGAGTATATCCCATGATAAAAACAAGAAGGAAGCTATCTGAGAAACCGCTTTATGATGTGTGCATTGATCTCACAGATTTAAACCATTTTTTTGCATTCAGCAGTTAGGAAACACTGTTTTTGTAGAATCAGTGAAGTGATATTTGGGTGTGCATTAGGGCCTATGGTGAAAAATGAAATACCTTCAGACAAAAAAGGAAAACAAGCTTTCTGAGAAACTGCTTTGTGATGCATGCATTCATCTCACAGAGTTAAACATTTCTCTGGATTCAGCGTTTTGGAAACACTGTTTTTGTCCATTCTCCGAATAGACATTTGGAAGCTCATTGAGGCCAGTGGTGAAAAAACAAAGTCCCAGGATAAAAGCTAGAAGGAAGCTATCTGAGAAACCGCTTTGTGATGTTTGCATTCAACTAGCAGAGTTCAACCTCTCTTTTCATTCAGCAGTGGAAAGACTGTTTCTGTAAAATCTGCAAAGGGATATTTGGGAGTGCATTAAGGCCTATGGTGAAAAAGGAAATATCTTCAGATTAAAAATTGAAAGAAGCTTTCTGAGAATCTGCTTTTTGATGTTGTGCATTGATCTCACAGATTTAAATGGTTCTTTTTATTCAATAGTTTGATATCTCTGTTTTTATCTATTCTTCCAATGGACATTTGGGAGCTCATTGAGGCCAATAGGGAGAAAGCAAATATCCCACGATAAAAATTAGAACGAAACTATCTGAGAAACGACCTTATGATGTGTGCCTTTATCTCGCAGTGTTAAACCTTTCTTTTCATTTGGCAGTTTGGAAACACTGTTTTTGTAGGATCTGAAAAGGGATTTTCAAAGGCTTATGGTGAAAAGGAAATACCTTCAGATAAAAACTAGAAAGAAGTTTCTGAGAGACTGCTTTTACATTTTTGCATTCATCACACAGAGTTCAATCTTTCTTTTGATTCAGTTGTTTGGAAACACTGCTTTTGTCCATTCTGCAAATGCACATTTGGGTGCTCATTGAGACCAATGTCGAAAATGAGAATACCCCAGGATAACAAAGACAAGGTAACTACCTCAGAAACCGATCTGTGATGTGTGCATTCACCTCTCAGAGTTAAACCTTTCTTTTCATTCAGCAGTTTGGAAACATTGTTTTTGTAGAATTTGAGAAGGGATATTTGGGAGTGCTTTAAGGCCTATGGTGAAAAAGCAAACATCTTCAGATAAAAACTAGAAAGTATCATTTTGAGAAACTCCTTTGTGATGTGTGCATTCATCTGGCAGAGTTAAATCTTTCTTTTTATTCAGCGGCTTGAAAACACTGTTCATGTCCATTCTGTGAATGGACATTTGCAGCTCATTGAGGCCAAAGGCAAAAAAGTGAATATCCCAGGATAGAAACTGGAAAGGAGCTATCTGAGAAAATGCTTTGTGATGTGTGCATTCATCTAACAGAGTTAAACATTTCTTTTGATTCACCAGTCTGGAAACACTGTTCTGGTCCATCGTGCAAATGGACATTCGGGAGATGATTGAGGCCAATGGTGAAAGAGTGACTATCCCAGGATAAAAACTAGAAGGAAGCTATCTGAGAAACTGCTTTTTGATGTGTGCCTTCATCTCACAGATTTAAACCTAACTTTTCATTCAGCAGTTTGTAAGCATTGTTTTTTTCGAATCTGCAAAGGGATATTTGGGAGTGCCATGAGGCCTATGGTGAAAAAGGATATATCTTCATTGAAAACTAGAAAGAAGCTTTCTGAAAAACTGCATTGTGATGCATGGATCCATCTCACAGAGTTAAACTTTCTTTGGATTTAGCAGTTTGGAAACACTGTTTTGGTCCATTCTGAGAATGCACATTTGGGAGCTCACAGAGGCCAATGGTGAAAAACTGAGTATCCCAGGATAGAAACTAGAAGGAAGCTACCTGAGAAACCACTTTGTGTTATGTCCTTTCACCTCTCAGAGTTAAAACTTCCTTTTCAGTCAGAAGTTTGGAAACACTGTTTTTGTAGAATCTGCAAAGTGATATTTGGGAGTGCATTTAGGCCTACGGTGAAAAAGGAAACATCTTCTGTTAAAAACTAGAAAGAAACTTACTGAGAAACTGCTTTGTGATGTGTGCATTAATCTCACACAGTTAAATATTTCTTTAGATTCAGCAGTTTGGAAATATTGGTCTCGTCCATTTTGTGAATGGACATTTGGGAGCTTATTGAGGTCAATGGTGAAAAAAGCAAACATCCCAGGATAAAAACGAGAAGGAAGGTGTCTGAGAAACTGCTTCATGATGTGTGCATTGATCTCTCTGAGTTAAGCCTTTCTTTTCATTCAGAAGTTTGGAACCACTGTTTTTGTAGAATCTGCAAGGGTATATTTCTGAGCACATTGAGGCTTAAAATTAAAAAGAATATATCATCAGATAAAAATTAGAGAGAAGCTTTCTGAGAAACTGCATTGTCACGTGCACATTCATCTCACAGAGTTAAAACTTTCTTTGGATTCAGAGGTTTCCAAACACTGTTTCTGTATATTCTGCAAATGGGCATTTTGGATCTCATTGAGGCCAATGGTGAAAAAGTGAATATCCCTGGGTAAAAACTAGAAGGAATCTCTCTGAGAAACTGCTTTGTGATGTGGGCACTCATCTCTCAGGGATAGATATTTTTTTCATTTAGCAGTTTGGAATCACTGTTTTTGTAGATTCTGCGAAGGAATATTTGAGAGAACATTTAGTCCTATGGTGAAAAAGAAAATATCTTCAGATAAATACTAGAAAGAAGCTTTCTAAGAAATGCTTTTTGATGTGTGCATTCGTCTCACAGAGCTAAACCTTTCTTTTGATTCATCAGTTTGGAAACACTGTTTTTGTCCATTCTGTTTATGCACATTTGGGGCTCATTGAGGCCAAAGGCAAAAAAGGTAATATCCGATATTATGAACTAGAAGGAAGCTATCTGAGAAACTGCTTTGTGATGTGTGCATTGTTCTCGCAAAGTTAAACCTTTCTATTCATTCAGCAGTTTGGAAACGCTGTTTTTGTAAAGTGTGCAAAGGGATAGTTGGGAGTGCATGGAGATACATGGTGAAAAAGGAAACATCTTCAGATAAAAACTAGAAAGAAACTTTCTGAGAAACTGCTTTGCAATGTGTGCATTCATCTCACGGAGTTAAACCTTTCTTTTCATTCAGCAGTATGTTAACATTGTTTTTGTCTATTCTGCAAATGGACACTTGGGAACTCATTGAGGACAATGGCAAAAAATCTAGTATCTCAAATAAAAAACTAGAAAGAAGCTATCTGAGATAGCTCTTTGTGATGTGTGCATTGATCTCACAGAATTAAATATTTCTTTTCATTCAGCAGTTTGGAAACACTGTTTTTGGAGAATCTGCGAAGGGATATTTGTGAGTGCCTTCAGGTCTACAGTGAAAAAGGAAATATCTTCAGATAAAAACCAGAAAGACACTTTCAGAGAAACTCCTTTGTGATATGTGCATTCATCTCACAGAGTTAAACCTTTCTTTGGATTTAGTAATTTGGAAAGAGATTTTTGTCCATTCTGTGAATGGACATTTGGGAGATCGTTGAGGCCAATGGTGAAAAAGGGGACATATCATGATACAGATTAGAAGGAAGCTATCTGAGAAACAGCTTTGTGATGTGTGCATTCACCTAGCAGAGTTAAACCTTTCTTTTAATCCAGCAGTTTGGAAACGTTTTAAAATAGAATCTGCAAAGGGATATTTTGTAACGCTTTGATGCGTAAGGTGAAAAAGGAAACAGCTTCAGTTGAAAACTAGAAAGAGGATTTCTGGGAAACTGCTTCATGTTGTGTGAATTCATCTCCCAATGTTAAACCCTTCTTTTGATTCAGCAGTTTGGAAACAGTCTTTTTGTTCATTCAATGAATGGACATTTGGGATCTCATTGAGGCCAATGGTGAAAAAGCGAATATCCCAGGATAAAAACTAGAAGGAAGCTATCTGAGAAACCCCTTTGTGACGTGTGCATTCATCTCGCAGAGTTAAAAATTTCTTTTCATTCAGCAATTTGGAAACACTGTTTTTGTGCATTGTGCAAATGGACATTTGCAAACTCATTGAGGCCAATGGAATAAAGTGAATATCCCAGGATAAAAACTAGAAGGAAGCTATCTGAGAAACCACTTTGTGATATGTCCATTCACCTCGCAGACTTAAACCTTGCTTTTCATTTGGCAGTTTGGGAACACTGTTTTCGTAGAATCTGAAAAGGGATATTTAGGAGTGCATTGAGGCCTATCATGAAAAAGGAGACATCTTAAAGTAAATACCAGAAAGGAGCTTTCTAAGAACCTACTTTGGTATGTGTGCATTGTTCTCACAGAGTTAAACTCTTCTTTTGATTCAGCAGTTTGGAAACAGACTTTTTTTCCATTTTGTGAATGGATATTTGTGAGCTCTTTGAGGACAATGGCGAAAAAGCATATATCACAGGATATAAACTAGAAGAAAGCTATCTGAGAAACTGCTGTTGGGAACAAGCCCCCCAAAATCCGGCCATAAACTGGCTCCAAAATTGGCCATAAACAAAATCTCTGCACCACAGTGACATGTTCATGTTGGCTGTCATGCCCACCCTGGAAGGTTTTGGGTGTATCAGAATGAGGGCAAGGAATACCTGGCCCACAGAGGGTGGAAAATCACTTAAAGGCATTCTTAAACCACAAACAATAGTATGAGCCATCAGTGCCTTAAGGACATTTTCCTGCTGCAGATGACTAGCTGGATCCACCCCTTTATTTTGGCCCATCCCTTCATTTCCCATAAGGGATACTTTTAGTTAATCAAATATCTATAGAAACAATGCTAATGACTGGCTTACTGTTAATAAATACGTGGGTAATTCTCTGTTCAGAGCTCTCAGCTCTGAAGGCAGTGAGACCCCTGATTTCCCACTTCACACTTCTATATTTCCTTGTGCATCTCTTTAATTCCTCTAGGGCCGCTGGGTTAGGGTCTCCCTGATTGAGCTGGTCTCATTAAGTGGCGTCCATCGTGTGAGCTCAAACCTAGGTCGAAGGGTCACCGGAGCAACTGTTGGAGATTGTGGATCTAGCTGGAGGACACCCGAGTACTATTAAAGCAATTCCCATGGTGAGTAAAAAGGGGAGCTCAGAAGCATCAGGGTAAAAATGCGACAAGTGTGGACTGTGGTTCGTTCCACCTGGGAATTTTTTCACACTGATGATAAGGAGGAATGAGAGTATAAAGAAGTAATAGAAGAGGTTAAAAACAAGGTTTATTTGCCAGCTAAAACTGAAGTGTCAAAGGAGAGAGAGGTTCATCCCTATCCTTCTGCACCCCCTCATTATTACTTTGAAGAAAAAAATCCTCTAGGTCTTTCTTTTCTGGAGGACTCTGGGCGAAAGTTAGTGGCCCCCGTGACTGTTCGAGCAGCACTTCAAGTGACTGCTCTTAGTTCTATTCAGGCAGGAATTCAGCAAACTAGATGAGAGGGTCATTTAGAAGCTTGGTAGTTCACTGTTAGAATACACCCCCCAGATCAACAGGGAAGTATTATAGCTACATTTGAGCCTTTTCCTTTTAAATTTGGGAAAGCATATTTAGTTGATTATATAAAGGCTTGTGATTGTATCAGAGGTAATCTGCATAAAGCTACTTGGTTGGCACAGGCAATGGCAGGACTGAGAGTGGGTAAGGGAAATACTCCATTTCCTGGAGCTTGTTTTAACTGTGGGAAGCATGGTCATACTAAAAAATAATCCAGAAAAAATCAGCAAGTCAGGCTGCCAGATAGGGGAAAGAAGAAAACGGCTGAGCCAAAAATATATCTGAAATGTAAAAAAGGAAAACATTTGGCCAATCAGTGTCAGTCTGAGTTTGGTAAAGAAGGGAACCTGATTTCAGGAAACAACATGAGGGGCCCTTCCTGGACACCATTGTAAACCAGGGCATTTCAAGCTCAAGCCATTCCCTCACCCCTGTACAATGTCTGTCCCCCACCACAGGCGTTAGTGCAGCAGTAGACTTAAGCTGCACAAAAGCTGTGAGCCTTCTGCCTGGGGAAACCCTGCAAAAGGTCCCAACAGGAGTCTGTGGACCCTTGCCAGTGGGGATGATAGGATTACTTTTAGGAAGGTCTAGTTTAAGTTTAAAAAGTGTACAAATACATACAGGAGTCATTGATTCAGATTATAAATGGGAAATTCAAATTTTTATGTTGTGATACCCTAACTTGTATTAACATGTTTGACTCTTAGCTGAAAAACCAGAGGGATTCCATTTGGCTCCTTCATTTGCAAGACATTAAGGGCTCCTTACCCTCTCCCTTCCTGAAAGACTTAACCTGTGCAAGCTGACTCTCAGCACATCAAAGAGTCCAATTAACTGATAAAGTACTGTGGCAAGTTAGGTCTGAAGTTCCCAGAAATTTGCTTGGGAGATGGTACCATGAAGCCCCCACGTTTGTGTCCGGCAGATGACACCCAGAGCCACCCCACCTATCACCTTGTGACAAATTTAAAGCCCCTGCACCTGGCACTGTTTGTTTTCCTGTAACCATTTGTCTTTTTAACTTTTCTGTCTGTTTTACTTCAGTAAGATTGCTACAGCTAGATTCCCCCTCCCCTCTCTAAACCAAAGTATAAGAGAAAATCAAGTCCCTTGTTCAGGGCTGAGAGAATTTTGAGCGTCAGCCATCTCTCAGTCACTGGCTAATAAAGGACTCCTGAATTCGTCTCAAATTGTGGTGTTTCTCTCTAAATCGCTTTGTTACAACATTTGGAGGCCCCAGCTAGATTATTCACCACTGAGTGAGAGCCAGACTCGCTCTAGGCTCCCCTGGATGGCTGGCCAGCTTATGGGGGGTGCCACCTGAAAAAGTTCCAGGTCCCTATAGGCGACCGTCTTCTGGAGGAGAGAGGATCGACTACCGGTGTGTGCCCACAAAAATTAACCTTCTGAGTCCTCAGCTTCTGGTCCCGGGAAGGTAAGTCAGATCTGACTTTGGTTTGGTGAGAGGGACACATCCCTCAGGAGGGTGTCTCTCTCTTTGACCCTGCCTGCATTCCAGGACACTGGAGGGCAGAGCCCTGGTTTTCTGTTAGATGCTTTTGGTTCTGGTTTGGTGAGAGGAAACTCTCCCTAAAGAGGGCGTCTCTCTCTTTGACTCTGTCCATGTTCCAGGACGCTGGAGGACAGAGTCCTCTTTTCTGACAGGCTGGCCTCTCCATTAAGATTAGTTTCTCCCTCTCTCTTTCTGTCTCTCTCTCTCTCTTTCTCTCCCTCCCCTTTTCTCTATCTCTTCTCCTCCTCTCGTTCAGGTCTCCTGGAGACCTCTGTTTAGAACAGAAATAAGAAAAATTGTTATAAACTCTGTGTGAATGTGTGCATGAATGGGAAGTTCAAGGGCTTGCCCTTGAATCTCCATTTTGTAGCTCCACCGTGAAAGCTACAGAGTTACAGTGGGTCCTCACTTGTGGTCCTGTGGCAACCTAATAAGGCTTAAGGCAGCATCGGGCATAGCTTGATCCCAGCTGGGGGTTTACACGGGCCTGCCAATGCTAAGAGGATCCCAAGTCCCCTCAGGGAAAGCAGCCAGGTGGGCATCTGACTGATCCCATCGTGGGACCCCCTCCCCTTGTCTGTCTATGAAAACTGCCATAATTGTTTATATTCTCCAGGGTCTACTGCCTGTTTTGTGTCTATTGCCTGTTTTTGTGTCTGTTGCCTGTTTTTGTGTCGATTGCCTGTTTTTAGATCTATTGCTTGTTTTTGTGTCTATTGCCTGTTTTTAGGTCTATTGCCTGTTTTTGTGTCTATTGCCTGTTTTTAGGTCTATTGCTTGTTTTTGTGTCTATTGCCTATTTTGGAGTCTATTGCCTGTCTTTTTATCTATTGCCTGATTTTGTGTCTGTTGTCCTGTTTTTATGTCTGCTGTCCTGTTTAGTGTCTATTGTCTTGTCTGGTGTCTGAGTTTCAGATGTCAAGTTATAGATATTGCCCAAGACGAGTGGGCAATGACTTCTTCAAAGTCTTCAGTGCAGATTTTCTATCACAGGAGGTCTCAGGCATGTCTCTTCAGGTTGCCTGGCCCAGGGGCCAGGCATACTTCCATCAGTTTACAAAAGAAACAGCCTCAGTCCCCCACAGCAGAGGTTCCCCGATGGACAGGTGGGGAGTAGGAGGTGACAGCACCAGACACCCTCCCCCAGGGACCCCCAAAGGCGCCTGGCTCCTGTGCCTTCAGGTGTCAAAGTCCCCAACTTCCCCGAGCACCAGTGAATCCACACCTGGTTTGGAATGCAGGGGCCTGGCCTGCTGTAGTGACCTAGGCCCTGGGCCAGGCTTCTGAAACAGGCTTTCAGCACCTGACAAGGCCTGGAGGCAGGGCGGGGGACTGTGGAGTCATCCTGACAACCCAGTGCTGCCTGGCATGGCTCCTCCCAGCCTGAAAAGATCTGAGTAACCCCTTTTTTCCTCGTCCCTTGCCCTGCACATCTCATTTTCCTGTGTTGCAGCAAGTACATAATCTCCAAGACTTGGCTCTGCTCTCCCTCCTCAAACCCTTAAAAGAAAAGGCCAAGTTGGAACTATTTGCCTTTAAGTCATGGAGACAACAAAGATATTTAGTCTATAAATCAAAGGGAAATAGGAAATCACATAAGTCCCTCTGGCCCCAGACCCACCTCCAGAATTGGAAATTCTTCTTCCCAGCCTCATAAAGATTGGAGCCCTCTCCAATGTATGTTACAAAATTTCTCTCTAGGCTTCTGAGAGGATTATGGAGTCCACCTAAAGAAAGGCAAACTCTGGACAATCAGTGAAGTGGAATGGCCACAGTTTAGAACCAGTTGGCCCCTAAGAAGAGTCACTTAACCCCACAGTTGTTCAGGCTGTGTGGTGGGGTGTTGCTGGAACTCCTGGTCACCCCAATCAGTTTCCCTACATTGATCAATGGCTGCGATTGGTCCAAAGCCCTCCCCCTTGGCTCCACTCATGTGTCTTTCATGATCCCACCTCCAAGGTCCTTCTGAGCCAGACCGCACTTTTACTCCAACCCTCAGCTCCCTCGGCTCCTCCTGTACTGCCTCCTTCTGAAGAAGAGGAGAGTGTTCCTCACCCATTTCTGCCACTCTGTAACCCTCCTGCTCCCCCAGAATCTTCTCTTGTCTCCTCAACTACATCCCCTGTGAGCTCTCTGCCCATAGCCTCCAGACTGTGGCCATGGCAGAAGGAGGTAGCCCCCTCCACCCACAGAGAGAGGCACAAATCCCTCTGGGTGATGAGCACACTGCTGTATTTTTAGTTTATGTCCCCTTCTCTACTTCTGACTTGTAACTGGAAGGCTTATAATCCCCCCTTTTCTGAAAAAACCCAGGTTTTGACCTCACTGATGGAGCCCGTGCTCTGGACTCACTGGCCCATCTGGGACGATTTTCAGCAGCTCCTTTTGACACTTTTCACCTCTGAAGAGAGGGAACGTATGCGAAGAGAGGCTAGAAAGCATTTCCTCACATCAGCCGATAGGCCAGAAGAGGAAGACAGAGACCTCCTTGAGGAAATTTTCCCCTCTACCCGGCCTAGTTAGGATCCTAACTCCTAGGGTGGGAGAAAACATTTAGATAATTTTCACTGGTATCTTCTTGTGGGTATCAAAGGAGCTGCTCGAAAACCCATGAATCTGTCTAAGACAACTGAAGTTGTCCAGAGGCCTGATGAGTCACCTGGAGCATTTTTAGAACACCTCCAGGAGGCCTATCAGATTTACACCCCTATTGACTCAGTGGCTCAGGCAGCCCCTCACGCTAAAAGAAAGCCACAAAAGCTGGAAGGAATTGCTGGGATAAATATCGGTCAACTTTTAGAAATAGCCCAAGAAGTTTTTGACAATCAAGAGTTTGAAAAGCAAAAACAAGCAGCTGAGGCAGCTGAAAAGGCTGCTGACAAAGCATCAGAGAGACAAGCAAAAATCTTAGTGGCAGCCATTCAAGAAGCCAGAAATGAAGGGCCCCCATCACAGAACACTGTCCAGAAGACCCCGGGTCTATGCCAGAAAGGCAAGAAAAGTGAACAAGATTCCCTACAAAGAAACCAATGCACCTATTGCAAGCAGATAGGACACTGGAAGAAAGAATGCCCATTAAAGCCAGAAGAAAAACCAGAAAATAAAAAAAGGCCTCATCCTCCCCACAGCAGAGGAATCTGATGATTGATAAGGCCAAGGCTCCCTCTCACTTAGCCCCTGGGAGCCCATGGTGACCACAACTGTGGAAGGCCATAGCTAGACCCTGTGGCCTCCAGGTAGCCAAGTTGTCTGCGGAGCCATAGCGGCAACAGCAAGCCTAATCCAGGAGGCTAATAAACTGACTCTAGGCCAGAATTTAACCCTTATGGTTCCTCATGCCGTAGAGACATTGCTACAAAGTGCCTCTGACAAATGAATTTCAAACACTCGCAACCTGCAGTATCTGTTAGATCAGCCTTAACTTTCCCATAGGGTGTTTAAATCCAGCTATCTTGCTCACTGATCCAGATCTTACACACCTGTCCATGACTGCAAAGAACTGTTGAAGACTACAAAAACTAGCTGACATGATCTCAAAGATGTGCCTTTAAAGGAGGCAGACAACACCGTGTTTACAGATGGTAGCAGCTTCCTTGAGCAGGGAGTTCAAAAGACTGGTGCGGCTGTCACTACAGAGACGGATATTCTATCAGCCCAAACTCTACCAGCTGGCACCTCAGCTCAGAGGGCTGAGTTGGTTGCCCTTACACAAGCCCTCCAATGAAGTAAAGACAAACTTATTAACATTTACACTGACAGCAGATATGCTTTTGCTACTGTGTATGTACACAGAGCCATCTACCAAGGGCAAAGACTACTCACCCCGGAAGAAAAGACTATTAAAAACAAAGAAAAATTTAGCCCTGCTTGAAGTTGTTTGGCTTCCTTGGCAGGTGGCTGTAATTCACTACAAAGGACATCAAAGAGAAGGCATGGCTGTAGCTAGTAACAGCCAAAGAGCAAACTCTACAGCTCAAAAGACAGCTCAGCTCCTGGTCGATCCAGCTGTCCATTGTGTCCTTTCCAAAACCCAATTTGCCAGCCTCAGAAAAAGATAAACAAGCTTCAAATCTTCAAGCAAGTGAAAATCAAGAAGGAAAAGTAAAATTGGCCCAGCTCCTAAGGAGCCCTTTCAAGATCCCCTGCCTTCAGAACTTAATGGATCAAGCAGCTCCCTGGTATACAGCTTGCACTCAGATAAACGACCAGCAAGGCCCTAAACCCAGCCGAGGCCACTGCCTCCAGGGAGGCTCACCAAGAAAAAGGTAGGAAATTGACTTTACAGAGATAAAACCACATTGGGCAAGGTATAACTATCTCCTAGTGCTAGTAGACAAATTTTGTGGATAGACTAAGGCATTTGCCAACAAAAATGAGACTGCCACCACAGTAGTTACATTTTTACTCAATGAACTCATCCATCGACATAAGCTGCCTGTTGCCATAAGGTCTGATAATAGACCAGCCTTCACCTTGTCCATACCTCAGTCAGTCATTAAACATTCAATGAAAGCTCCATTGTGCCTATCAACTTCAGAGCTCTAGACAGGTAGAATGCATGAACAACTGCATCCTAAAAGTACTTTTACGAAATTAATCTTAAAGACTGGTGAAGATTAGGTAAAGTTCCTTCCTCTAGCCCTTCTTAAAGTAAAATATATCCCTTACCGAGCTGAGTTCTCACTTTTTAAATTCATGTTTATGAGGGCTCTGCCCATCTTGCCTAAAATCTCACATGCTAATTTATTACAGTACCTATAGTCTCTCCAATAGGTACAAGATATCATCCAGCCACCTGTCCGGGGAGCTTATCCCAATCCAATTACTGACCAGACAGAGCCCTGCCACTCGTTCCAGCCAGGTGACCTGGTATTTGTTAAAAAGTTCCATAAAGAGGAACTCACTCCTGCTTGTAAAGGACCTCATACTGTCATCCTCACCACACTGATGACTCTGAAAGTGGACACCATTCCTGCTAAGATTCATAACACACCCAGTACCAAAGCATGTTTAACTGTAATCCTTGACTAACTATTCTAATTATTGGATTAGCAGGACTCCTTTTCTCCTCCTCTTAAGTTTAGTCTTCAAACCTTCTATTTTAAAATTAGTTTCTTAACTTTGTAAAGCAATGCACAGCTTCTGTCAAACTTATTATGTATCTTAAAACCCAATGTAACCCCCTTCTTACATTGATTTGATTCCCCAAAATCACAAGTGGGGTATGTGGTACCCTATCTTGTATTAACTTGATAGACTCTCTCTTAGCTGAAAAAGCCAGAGGGATTCCATTTGGCTCCTTCGCTTGCAAGACATTAAGGGCTCCTTACCCACTCCCTCCCTCAAGGACTTAACTTGTGCAAGCTGACTCTCAGCACATCTAAGGGTCCAATTAACTGATAAGGTACTGTGGCAAGTTACTTCCGCAGTTCCCAGGAATTTGCTCAGGAGATGGTACCATAACGGCCCTGCGTTTGTGTCTGGCAGATGACACCCAGAACCCCCACACCTATCACCTTGGTGATAAATTTAAAGCCCCTGCACCTGGAACAGTTTGTTTTCCTGTAACCATTTTTCTTTTTAACTTTTTTGTCCGTTTTACTTCTGTAAGATTGCTTCAGCTAGATTCCCCTTCCCCTCTCTAAACCAAAGCATAAGAGAAAATCAAGCCCCTTCCTTGGGGCCAAGAGAATTTTGAGTGTTAGCTGTCTCTTGGTTACTGGCTAATAAAAGACTCCTGAATTCATCTCAAAGTGTGGGGTTTCTCTCTAACTCGCTTGGTTACAACAATATCAACTTCTGTTCCCTGCAAAGCAGAGTGAGGAGAGTGCTAGCACATCTCCTGATTGTGCCATGTGCGGGAATGGGAAAAAGTGAAACTAAATGAACAGGAGGATTTGGAAGCACAAATAAACAAGGAAAATCAACTTATTGGTAAATGAAATTAATGATAAACTTCCTACCTGTGAAATAACTATTCAGGGAACGAAATTTAAAGGTTTGGTAGATACAGGAGTGGACATTTCAATCATTTCTCTACAGCATTGGCCGTCCGTGTAGCCAATTCAATCCACTCAATTTAACATAGTTGGAGTTGGTAAAGTCCCTGAAGTATATCAAAGTAGTTATATTTTGCATTGTGAAGGGCCCAATGGACAACCCGTGACTATTCAACCAATTATAACTTCTATACCTATAAATTTATGGGAGAGAGATTTATTACAACAATGAGGGGCACAATTTCTAATTCCAGAACAATTATATAGCCCTCAAAGTCAACATATGATGCATGAAATAGGGTATGTCCCTGGTATGGGACTAGAAAAAAATTTGCAAGGTTTGAAAGAACCCCTTCAAGTGGAAAAACAAAGTTCCTGCCAAAGATTAGGAAATAATTTTTGATGGCAGCCATTGTTAATCCTCCAGAACCTATACTTTTAAAATGGTTAACAGTAACAGATAAGCCAATGTGGATAGAACAATGGCCACTAAGTAAAGAGAAACTTGAGGCTTTAGAGAAATTAGTTACTTAAGAATTAGAAAATGGGCACATAGCTCCAACATTTTTCCTTTGAATTCTCCAGTTTTCATAATTAAGAAAAAAGCAGGTAAATGGAGAATGTTAACTGACTTAAGAGCCATCAATTCAGTTATACAACCTGTGGGAACATTACAGCCAGGATTGCCTTCTCCTGCTATAATTCCAAAAAATTGGCCTTTAATAGTCATAGATTTAAAAGACTATTTCTTTACTATCACTTTAGCTGAGCAAGACTGTGAACGGTTTGCGTTTACAATTCCTGCAGTAAAAAAACCTGCAGCCTGCTAAGTGTTATCATTGGAAAGTGTTGCCACAAGACATGTTAAACAGTCCAACAGTTTGCCAGACGTGTGTAGGACAAGCAATTGAACATACTCATAAAAAAATTCACAGTGTTACATTATTCATTATATGGATGTTATAGTTTGTGCTGCCCCCACTTGAGAAGTATTACTCCAATGTTATGATCACTTGCAAAATTCGATTTCTTGCACTGGTTTAATTATAGCTCCTGGCAAATTTCAGACTACTACTTCTTACTCCTACTTGGGGACCTTAGTAAATGACACTACCATTGTGCCACAGAAAGTAACAATTGATAGGGATCAATTAAAAACATTAAATGACTTTCAAAAATTACTAGCTTACATTGATTGGATAAGACCTGCTCTAGGAATTCCTACCTATGCCATGAGTAATCTGTTTTCTATCCTTAGAGGAAATCCTAGTCTCACTAGCCCTTGGCAATTAACAAAGGAGGCCGAGATCGAGTGACAGCTGATTGAAAAGCAAGTCCATAAGTCTAAAATAAATAGAGTAGATCCAGAGAAGACTCTAGATTTGCTAATTTTTTCAACTCAGCCTTCAACTACTGGTGTTATTGTCCAAGAACAGGACTTAGTAGTATGGCTTTTTCTTCCACATACTAATTCATGGACTCTAACTCCTCATTTAGATCAAATTGCTACTATTATAGGGATTGGGAAAACTCAGTTTGTTAAATTACATGATTATGATCCTGGAAAAATTAATTGTTGTCCCTCTCACGAAGACACAAATACAGCAAGCTTTATAAGTAGTCTTATTTGGCAAATCCATTTAGCTTGGTTTGTGGTTATTTTCGATAATCATTTTTCTAAAATGAAGCTGTTTCAGTTTTTGAAATTAACTAATTGGAATCTCACTGCAATAACTAAATTTAAACCAATTGAAGATGCTGAGAATGTTTTTACAGATGGGTCTACTAATGGTAAATGTTCTTATTTTGGCACAAAAATTTAAGTTTTCCAGGTGCCCTATACTTCAACTCAAAAAGTTGAGCTTGTAGCTGTAATTGAGGTATTGACTGCTTTTGATATGCCTATTAATGTGATTTCTGATTCTTCAAACATGGTTCATTCCACACAGTTAATCGAAAATGCTCAGTTACAATTTCATACAGATAAACAACTGATGAGTTTATTTACCCAATTTCAAACAGCAGTTAAGAGTAGAATGCACCCTTTTTACATCACTCACATTAGGGCTCCTATACCCCTTCTAGGACCTTTGACTGAAGGAAATAAAATGGCTGATCACCTAGTTGCTTATGCAATATCTAATGCTAGACACTTTCACAATTTAACCGATGTTAATGCTTCTGGTCTCAAACACAAATACAGCATTACCTGGAAAGAAGTTAAAGCTATTATCCAGAGATGCCCAACTTGCCAAATGGTACATTCCTAATATTTTACAGGAGGAGTTAATCCTCAAGGATTGGAATCTAACTCTCTTTGGCAAATGGATGTCACACATGTTCCTTCATTTGGGATACTAGCTTGTGTATATGTATGTGTGGAAACCTTTTCTCACTTTATCTGGGCTATATGTCAAACAGGAGAGTCTTCTGCCTGTGTTAAGTGTCACCTTTTGCAGTGTTTTGCCATGATGGGCATTCCAGCTTCTATTAAAATAGATAATGCCCCAGGCTATACTAGACAAGCTCTAGCTAATTTTTTCTCTATGTGGAATATTAAACACGTTACTGGTATCCCATACAATTATCAAGGACAAGCCACAGTGGAAAGAATGAATCTTTCCCTAAAACAGCAGTTGCAAAAGCAGAAAGGGGGAGACAGAGTATATGGAACCCCACAGATGCGACTGAATCTGGCATTATTAACTTTAAAAGTTTTGAGCCTGCCCAAGGGCAGATGTTATCAGTAGCTGAATAGCATCTACAGAAACCATCTACAAAGAAGCAGAACAACTGATTTGGTGGAGAGATCCGATAACAAAAAATTGGGAAATAGGTTAAACAATAACTTGGGGTAGAGGTTATGCTTGCATTTCTCCAGACCAAAATCAACAGCCGATTTTGATACCATCAAGATACCTGAAACCTTATCATAAGCCATATGTCAAGGAAGATATACCAGGAGGATCCTGAGGACCCACCAGTTGCACCCATGCCAAGACTGACATTGAGGAGGACTATAACGGTCATGAGCAACACCCGTTGAACAGAGTCACCCACCTGGGGACAGATCAAGAAGTTCTCACAGGTGGCAGAAGAAAACCTGAGGAAAGCAGGACAACCAGTCACAATGAAAAATTTAATGGTAGCTATGATAGCAGTTATCACCACTGCCATGAGTATTCCTTAAATAAGGGCTGACACAGAGAACAATTATACTTATTGGTCATATTTATCTATCTTGACTGATAATAATGCCTGGATGTAATCACTCTATGATGCAGTTACACATGCTTTCTGATCTCAGTATTTACCATAATAAGTCTGCTCCTATAATAGAGGCATACTGCCCTCCAAAACCTATTTGTAAACAAAATAGAACCTGGCCAGAAATAATGAACGTACTTTTTTAGGAAGAGTGTATTGCAGAACAGTCAGAGGTGCTGCACAGTGATTCCTATGGAATCATTATTGATTGGTCTCCTAAGGGGATGTTTAGCTTGAACTGCCCCTCTCGGTGTGTGTGCCACGGCCAAACTATGTTCAACTGGTCTGAAAAAAAGGTCAGAAGGTAGAAATGATAAGAAGTATGGCAGGAATTCCTATTATCTGGAATCATGGAGGTATAGTGGCACCTCAATATCAAATGATATGGCCCATTGTAGGAGCCAAACATAAGGATTTGTGGAAACTATTAATAGGTATTAATAAGGTCAAAATTTAGGAAATAATAAAAAAGCATCTAGAAGGACACTCTACAAACTTGTTTTTGGATATTGCAAAATTAAAAGAAAAATAATTAAGGCATCCCAGTCACACCTGACCTTAATGCCAGGAACTGGAGTGCTTGAAGGAACTGCAGAAAAATGATCAGCTAGGAGCCCATTAAAATGGATAAAAAACATTTGGGAGCTCTGTGATTTCAATGATGATTGTGATTTTAATCTATGTTGTTTGTCTTTGTATAGTCTGCAGATGCAGATCCTGATTCATGTGAGAAGTAGCTCACCATGACAAAGCTGCCTTTGCTTTTATCGATTTGCAAATCAAAGAAGGGGGACATGCTGGGAACAAGACCCCAAAAAATCCGGCCATAAACTAGCAAAAAACTGGCCATAAACAAAATCTCCGCAACACTGTGACATGTTCATGTTGGCCATGACGCCCACGCTGGAAAGTTGTGGGTTTACCGGAATGAGGGCAAGGAACACCTGGCCAGCCCATGGCAGAAAACAGCTTAAAGACATTCTTGAACCACAAACAATAGCATGAGTGATCTGTGATTTAAGGGCAGGTTACTGCTGCAGATGGCTAACCAGATCCAACCCTATATTTCAGCCCATCCCTTCATTTCCCATAAGAAACACTTTTAGTTAATCGAATGACTATAGAAACAATGCTGATGACTGGCTAAGAGTTAATAAGTATGTGGGTAATTCAGTGTTCAGTGCTCTCAGCTCTGAAGGCTGTGAGACAACTGATTTCCCACTTCACACCTCTATATTTCTCTGTATGTGTCTTTAATTCCTCCAGTGCAACTGGGTTAGGGTCCACTCGAAGGATCTGGTCTCAGCAACTGATTTGTGATGTGTGCATTGATCATGCAGAGTTAAACATTTCTTTTCATTCAGCAGTTTGGAAACACTGTTTTTATAGAATCTACATAGGGATATTTCGGAGCGCATTGAGGCCTATGGTGAAAAAGGAAACATCTTCATATAAAAACTAGGAAGGAGATTTCTGAGAAACTGCTTTGTGATGTGTGCATTCAACTCACAGAGTTAAACCATTCTTTTTATTCAGCAGTTGGGAAACACTGCTTTTGCCCAGTCTGTGAATGGACATTTGGGAGATCATTGAGGCCAATGGTGAAAAAGTGAATATACTAGGATAAAAACTAGAAGGAAGCTATCTGAGAAACTGCTTTGTGATGTGTGCAGTCATCTCAGAGAGTTAAACCTTTCTTTTTATTCAGCAGTTTGGAAACACTCTTTTTGTAGAATCTGCAAAGGGATATTTGGGACCATATTAAAGCCTATGATGAAAAGGAAATATCTTCAGATAAAAAGGAGAAAGAAGCTTTCTGAGAAACTGCTTTGAGATGTGTGCATTCATCTCAGAGAATAAAACGTTCTCTTCATTCAGCAGTTTGCAAACACTGTTTTTGTAGAATCTTCAAATTGATTTTTGGGAGCTCCCTGAAGCCATTGGCGAGAAAGTGAGTATCCAAGGATAAAAAGCTAGAAGAAAGCTAGCTGAGAACTGGCTTTCTGATGAGTGCATTGATCTCGCAGAGTTAAACTTTCCTATTCATTCAGCAGTTTGGAAACACTGTTTTTGTAGAATCTGCCAAGGGATATTTGGGTGCCCATTGAGGTGAGTGGTGACAAAGCAAAAATTCCAGGATAGAAACTAGAGGGAAGCTATCTGAGAAACCGCTTTGTGATGTATGTATTGAACTCACAGAATTAAACCTTTGCTTTTATTCAGCATTTTGGAAACACTGTTTTTGTACAGTCTGTGAAGGGATATTTGGGAACGTGTTGAGACCTCTCGTGAAAAAGGAAATATCTTCAGATAATAAGGAGAAAGAAGCTTTCTCAGAAACTGCTTTGAGATGTGTGTATTCATCTCAGAGAATAACCCTTTTCTTTTAATTCCACAGTTTGTAAACACCTTTTTTGCCCATTCTGTGAATGGACATTTGGGAACTCATTGAGGCCAAAGGTGAAAAAGCCAATATCACAGGATAAAAACTAGAAAGAATCTTTCTGGGAAACTGCTTTGTCATGTGTGCATTCATCTCGCCGAGTTCCACCTTTCTTTTCATTCAGCAGTTTGGAAACACTGTTTTTGTAAGATCTGCAAAGGGGTATGTAGGAGCCCATTGAGGCCACTGGTGAAAACAGAAACATATTAAGATAAAAACTAGAAAGAAGCTTTCTAAGAAACTGCTTGAAGTTTTGTGCATGCATGTCCTAGAATTAAATCTTTCTTTTGATTCAGCAGTTTGGAAACGCTGTTTATGTCCATCCTGCAAATGGACATTTGTGAAATCTTTGAGTCCAACGGCAAAAAAGTGTATATCCCAGGATAAAAAGTAAAAGGAAGCTATCTGAGAAACCGCTTTTTGATGTGTGTATTCATCTCACAGAGTTAAACCTTTCTTTTCGTTCAGAAGTTTGGAAAAACTGGTTTTGTAGAATCTACGAAGTGATATTTTGGAGCACATTGAGGCTTAGAGTGAAAAAGGAAATATCTTCAGATAAAAACAAGGAAGAAGTTTTATGAGAAACTGCTTTATTATGTGTGGAGTCATCTCACAGATTTAAGCCCTTCTTTTTATTAAGCAGTTTGGAAACACTGTTTTTGTTCATTCTGTGAATGGACATTTGGTAGCTCTTTGAGACCAAAGGCAAAGAAGCTAACATTCCAAGATAAAAACTAGATGGAAGCTATCTGAGAAACCGCTTTGTGAAGAGTGCCTTCCTCTCACAGAGTTAAACTTTCTATTCATTCAGCAGTTTGGAAACACGATTTTTGTAGAATCTTTGAAGGGCTATTTGGGAGCACTTTGAGGCCTATGTTGAAAAAGGAAATATCTTCAGATAAAAATTAGAATGACTCTTTCTGAGAAACTGCTTTGTGATGTGTGCTTTAATCTCCAAAGTTAAACGTTTCTTTTGATTCAGCAGTTTGGAAACAACGTTTTTGTCCATTCTGTGAATGTACTTTTCAGACCTCATTGTGGCCAGTGGCAAAAAAGCTAATATCCCAGGATAAAAACTAGAGGGAACCTACCTGACAAACCGCTTTTAGATCTGTGAATTTATGTAGCAGAGTTAACCTTTCTTTTCTTTCAGCAGTTTGGAAACACTGTTTTGTAGAGTCTGCGGAGGGATATTTTGGAGCACATGGAGGCCTATGGTGAAAAAGGAAATATCTTCATATAAAAACTAGAAAAAAGCTTTCCAAAAAACTGCTTTGTAATGTGTGCATTCAACTTGCACATTTAAACGTTTTTTTATTTCAGCAGTTTGGTAACACTGTTTTTGTAGAATCTTCAAATTGATATTTTGGAGCTCCTTGAGGCCATTGGTGACAAAGGGAATATCCCAGGATTAAAACTAGAAGGAAGGTATCTGAGAAACGGCTTTCTGATATATGCATTGATCTCTCAGAGTTAAACCTTCCTATTCATTCAGCAGTTTGGAAACACTGTTATTGTAGAATCTGTGAAGGGATATTTGGGAAATCATTGAGGTCAGTGGTGAAGAAGTGAAAATTCCAAGATAAAAACTAGAAGGAAGCTATCTGAGAAATGGCTTTGTGGTGTGTGCATTGAACTTGCAGAATTAAACTTTTGCATTTATTCAGCAGTTTGGAAACACTGTTTTTGTACAATCTGCGAAGGGATATTTGGGAGCATATTGAGGCCTCTGGTGAAAAGGAAGTAGCTTCAGATAAAAAGGAGAAAGAAGCTTTCTGAGAACGTGCTTTGAGAAGTGTGCATCCATCTCAGAGAATAAAACCTTTCCTTTGATTCAGCAGTTTGTAAACACTGTTTTTCTCCATTCTGAGCATGGACATTTGGGAGCCCATGGAGGCCAATGGCAAAAACGCGTATATCACAGGATTTAAAACGAGAAAGAAGGTTTCTGGGAAACTGCTTTGTGATGTGTGCATTTATCTCACAAAGTTCCACCTTTCTTTTCATTCAGCAGTTTGGAAACACGGTTTTTGTAAAATCTGTGAAGGGATATTTGGGAGTGAATTGGGGCCACTTGTGAAGAAGGAAACATATTAAGATAAAAACTGGAAAGAAGCTTTCTAAGAAACTGGTTTAAGATGTGTGCATGCATGTCACAGAGTTAAACTTTTCTTTTGTTTCAGCAGTTTGGAACCACTCTTTTTGTCCATTCTGTGAATGGACATTTGTGAAATCTTTGAGGCCAATGGCAAAAAAGTGTATATCCCACCACAAAAACTACAAGGAAACTATCTGAGAAGACATTTTGTGATGTATGCATTTATCTTGAGGAGTTAAATTTTTCTTTTCATTCAGCACTTTGAAAATGCTCTTTTTGTAGAATACAAAAAGGGATATTTGGGAACACACTGAGTCCTATGGAGAAAAAGAAAACATCCTTAGATAAAAACTAGAAAGAAGATTTCTGAGAAACTGCATTGTGAAGCGTGCATTCATCTCACAGCATTAAAACTTTCTTTGGATTCAGCAGTTTGGAAATACTGTTTTTTCCATTCTGCAAATGGAAATTTGGGAGCTCATTGAGGCCAATTCAAAAAAGCAAATATCCCAGGATAAAAATTAAAAGGAAGCTTTCTGAGAATCCGCTTTGTGATGTGTGCATTGATCTCAGAGAGTTAAAATTTTCTCTTCATTCTGAGGTTTGGAAGCACTGTTTTTGTAGAATGTGCAAATGGATATTGCGAGCACATTGAGGTATCTGTTGATAAAAAGAAATATATTCAAGTAAAAACTAGAAAGAAGGTCTCTGAGAAACCTCTTTGTGATGTCAGCATTCATCTAACAGAATTAAACCATTCTTTTAATTCATAAGTTTGGAAACTGTTTTTGCGGAATCTGTGAAGGGATATTTTGGAGGACTTTGAGGTCTATGTTGAAAAAAAATCTTATGACAAAAAATGGAAAGAAGATTTTTAAGAAACTGCTTTCAGATATGTGCATTCATTTTGCAGAGCTAAAATTTTATTTTCATTCAGCAGTTTGTAAACACTTTTTTGGTCCATTCAGCAAATGGACAATTGGGAGGTCTTTGAGGACAATGGCAAAAAAGAGCATGCCCCATGATAAAAACCAGAAGGAAGCTACCTAAGAAACCACTATCTGATGAGTGTATTCACCTCGCAGAGTTTAATCCTTCTATTCATTCACCAGTATGGAAACAGTTTTTTGAGAATCTGCAAAGGGATATTGGGAGCACATTGAGGCCTATGGTGAAAAAGGAAATATATTCAGATAAAAACTAGAAATAATACTTCAGAGAAACTGCTTTGTTATGTGTTCATTCAGCTCACAGAGTTCAAACTTTCTTTGGATTCAGCAGTTTGGACAGGGTTTTTTGGTCCATTCAGCGAATGGAGGTTTGGGAGCTCATTGAGGCCAATGGTGAAAAAGCGAAAATCTCAGGATAAAAACTAGAAGGAAATGTTCTGAGAAAACTCTTTGTGATGTGTGTGTTCATGTCACAGAGGTAAACCTTTCTTCTCATTAAGCAGTTTGGAAACAATGTTTTTGTAGAATCTGAAAAAGGATATTTGGTACAGCTTTGAGTCCTGTGGTGAAAAAGTAAACATCTTCAGATAAAAACTAGAAAGAAGCATTCTGAGAAACGGCTTTGTGATGTGTGCATTCATCTCACAGAGTTAAACCTTTCTTTTGATTCAGCATTTGGGAAAAACTCTTTGTATAAATTCCACGGATGGATATTTGGGAGCCCATTGAGACCAATGGCAAAAACAGGAATATACCTGGATTAAAACTATAAAGAAGATCTCCGGGAAACTGCTTTGGGTGTGTGCATTCATCTGGCAAAGTTAAACCTTTTTTTTTTCATTCAGCAGTTTGGAAACACTGTTTTTGTAGAATTGTGAAGAGATATTTTGGAGTGCATTTATGCCTATGGTGAAAAGGGAACATCTTCAGATAAAAACTAGAAAAAAGATTTCTGAGAAACTGCATTGTGAAGTGTGCATTCATCTCACAAAGTTAAACTGTTCTTTGGATTTAGAAGTTTGGAAACACGGTTTTGTCCATACTGCCAATGGACATTTGGGAGCTCATGGATGCCAATGGCAAAAAAATACAATATCCCAAAATAAAAACTAGTAGGAAGCTATCAGAGAAACCATATGTGATGTGTGCAGTAATCTCGCAGACTTAAACATTTGTTTTCATTCAGCCATTCAGAAACACTATTTTTGTCCATTCTGCAAATGGATATTTGGGAGCTCATAGAGGCTAATGGCGAAAAAGCTAATATACCAGAATAAAAACTAGAAGGAAGCTCTCTTAGAAACCACTTTGTGATGTGTGCATTCATCTCACATAGTTAAAACTTTCTTTTCATTCAGCAGTTTAGAAAGACTGTTTTGCAGTATCTGTGAAGGGATATTTAGGAGTACATTGATGCCTATGGTGAAAAAGGAAATATCATCAGATAATAATTAGAAAGAAGCTTTAAGAGATACTGCTTTGTGATGTGTTCATTCATCTCACAGAGTTAAACATTTCTTTCCATTTAACAGTCTGAAAACACTGTTTTTGTCCACTCTGCAAATGGACAATTTGGAGGTATTTGAGGCCTAAGGCAAAAAAGTGAATATCCCAGGTAAATACTAGAAGAAAGGAATATGAGAATCCGTTTTGTCATGTGTGCATTCATTTCACAGAGGTAAACCTTTATTTTCATTCAACAGTTTGGAAGCCCTGTTTTTGTAGAATCTGCGAAGGAAAAATTGGGGGTGCATTGAGGCCTAGGGTGAAAAAGGAAACACCTTCAGATAAAAACCTGAAAGAAGATTTCCAAAAAATTGATTTGTGATGTGAGCATTCATTTCACACTTAAAAGTTTCTTTGGATTCAACAGCTTGGAAATCCTGCTTTTGTCCATTCTGCAAATGGACACTTGGGAACTCATTGAGGCCTATGGCGAAAAAGCAAATATCCTAGGATAAAAACTTGAAGGAAGCTACCAGAGAAACCACTTTGTGATGTGTGCATTCACATCACAGAGTTAAAACTTTCTTTTCATTCAGAAGTTTGGAAACACTGATTTTTTAGAATCTCTGAAAGGATATTTGGGAGTGAATTGAGACCTATGTTGAAAAAGGAAACATCTTCAGATAAATCAGAGAAAGAAGCTTTCTGAGAAACTATTTTGTGATGTGTGAATTCATCTCACAGAGTTAAACCTTTCTTTGGATTCAGCAGTTTGGAAACACTGATTTTGTCCATTCCGTGAATGGACATTTCAGAGCTCATTGACCCCAATTACAAAAAGCGAATATCCCAGGAAGAAAAAAAAAAACAAGAAGGAAGCTATATGAGAAACTGCTTTGTGATGTGTGCATTCACCTCGCAGAGATAAACTTTTCTTTCATTCAGCAGTTTGGAAACCCTGATTTTGTATAATCTGTGAAGGTATATTTGGGAGTGCCTAGGGTAGTATGGTAAAAAAGGAAACATCCTCAGATATAATCTAGAAAGAAGGTTTCTGAGGAACTGTTTGGTGATGAGTGCATTCATCTCACAGAGTTAAACATTGCTTTGTATTCAGATGTGTGGAAACACTTTTTTTTGTCAATTAATGGAAATTTGGCAGCTCATTGAGGCCAATTGCAAAAAAACGAATATCCCAGGATAAAAACTAGAAGCAAGCTATGTGAGAAGCTGATTTGTGATGCATGCATTCACCTCGCAGAGTTTAACATTTCTTTTCATTCAGCACTTTGGAAACAATTTTTTGTCCATTCTGCAACTGGACATTTTGGAGCTCCTTGAGGCCAATGGTGGAAAAGCGAGTATCCCGGAATAAAAACTCAAAGGAAGCTATCTGTGAAAGTGCTTTGCGATTTGTGCATTCAACTAGCAGAGTTTAACCTTTCTTTTCATTCAGCACCTTGAAAACCCTTTTTTTGCAGAATCTCTGAAGGAATATTTGGATGCACTATGAGGCCTTTGGTGAAAAAGGAAACATCTTCAGATAAAAACTAGAAAAAAATCTTTCAGAGAAACTGCTTTTTGATGTGCGCATTTATCCACAGATTTAAAACTTTCTTTTTTATTCAGCAGTTCAGAAACACTGTTTTTGTCCATTCTTCAAATGGACATTTGGGAGTACTTTGAAGCCAATGGCAAAAAAGCAAATATCCCAGGATAAAAACTAGAAGGAAGCTATCTGAGAATCCACTTTTTTATGTGTGCATTCACATTGCAGTGTTAAAGATTTATTTTCATTCAGCAGTTTGGGAACATTATTTTTGTGGTATCTGCGAAGGGATATTTAGGAGCGCATTGATACGTATGGTGAAATAGTAAACATCTTTAGATAAAAACTAGAAAGAAGCTTTATGAGAACCTGCTTTGTGATGTGTGCATTCATGTCACAGAGTTAAACCTTTCTTTGCATTCAGCAATTTGGAAATGCTGTTTTTGTCCATTCTGTGAATGGACATTTTGGAGGTCATGGAGACCAAAGGCAAAAAAGTGAATATCCAAGAATGAACACAAGAAGGAAGCTATCTGAGAAACTGCTTTGTGATGTGTGCATTCATCTCACGGAGTTAAAGCAGTCTTTTCATTCAGCAGTTTGAAAATACCATTTTTGTAGAATCACGAAGGGTTATTTGGGAGCACATTGAGGCCAATGGTGAAAAAGGAAACATCTTCAGGTAAAAACTAGAAAGAAGCTTTCTGAGAAACTGCTTTGTGATGTCTGTATTCTCCTAACAGTTAAACCTTTCTTTGGATTCAGCAGTTTGTAAAGATTGTTTTTGTTCATTAATGGACATTTGGGAGCTTCTTGAGGCTGATGGAAAAATGCAAATATCCCAGGATAACAATTAGAAGGAAGTTATCTGAGAAACTGCTTTTTGATATGGGCATTCATCTCACAGAGTTAAACCTCTCTTTTCACTCAGCAGTTTGTAAAAGGCTTTTTGAGGAATCTGGAAGGAATATTTGGGAACACTTTGAGGCCTATGGTGAAAAAGGAAACATCTTCAGCTAAAAACCAGAAAGAAGCTTTCTAAGAAACCCCTTTCTGATGTGTGCAGTCATCTCAGAGTGTTAAAGCTTTCTTTGGATTCAGCAGCTTGGAAACACTTTTTGTCCATTCCATGAATGGACACTTGGGAGCTCATTAAGGCAAAAGGCAAAAAAGTGAATATCCTAGGGTAAAAACTGGAACGAAGTTATTAGAGAAACTGCTTTTTTTATGGGTCCATCACGTCGCAGAGTTAAACCTTTCTTTTCAATCAGCAATTTGAAAAAACTGATTTTGTAGAATCTCTGAAGGGATATTTGTGAGTAAATTGATGTCTATGGTAAAAATGGAAAAATCTTCAGTAAAAACTAGAAAGAGGCTTTCTGAGAAACTGCTTTGTGATGTACACATTCATCTCACAGTTTTAAACCTTTCTTTGGATTCACCAGTTTGCAAACACTTTTTGTCCTTTCTGCAAATGGACATTTGTGAGTTCATTGAGGCCATGGGTGAATAAGCAAATATCCCAGGATAAAAACTAGAAGGATGCCACGTGAAAACCGCTTTGGAATGTGTTTATTCATCTCACAGAGTAAAACCTTTATTTTTATTCAGCAGTTTGGGAATGCTGTTTTTTGTAGAATCTGCAAAGGGATATTTGGGAGCCAATTGAAGCCTATGGTTAAGAAGAAAACATCTTCATATAAAAACAAGAAAGAAGCTTTCCAAGAAACTGCTTTCTGATGTGTGCATTCGTCTCTCAGAGTTCCACATTTCTTTTCATTCAGCAGTTTGGACACACTGTTTTTGTAGAATCTGTGAAGGGATATTTGGGAGCCTATTGAAGCGTATGGTTAAAAAGGAAACATCTTCAGATAAAAACAAGAAAGAAGCTTTCTGAAAAACTGCTTTGTGATGTATGCATTCATCTATCAGAGTTAAAGCATTGTTTGGACTCAGCAGTTAGGAAACACTGTTTTTGTCCATTCTGCAAATGGACATTTGGGAGCTCTTTGAGGCCACTGGTGAAAGAGTGAATATCCCAGGATAAAAATAGAAGGAAGATATCTGAGAAACCGCTTTGTGATGTGTGCATTCATCTCACATAGTTAAACCTTTCTTTTAATTAAGCAGCTTGGAAACACTGTTTTTGTAGTATCTGCTAAGGGATATTTAGCAGTGCATTGATGCCAGTGGTGAAAAAGGATATATCTTCCAGTTAAAAACTAGAAAGAAGCTTTCTAAGAACCTGCTTTGTGATGTGTGCTTTCATCTCAAAGAGGTAAAACTTTCTTTGCATTCAGCAGTTTTGGAAACACTGTTTTTGTCCATTCTGTGAATGGACATTTTGGCGTTCATTGAGGCCAATGGCAATAAACTGAATATCCCAGAATGAACACAAGAAGGAAGCTATCTGAGAAACTGCTTTGTGATGTGTGCATTTGTCTCATGGAGTTAAAGCTGTCTTTTCATTCAGCAGTTTGGAAACACCGTTTTTGTAGAATCTGCAACGGGATATTTTAGGGCTCACTGAGGCCTATGGTGAGAAAGGAAACATCTTTGGATGAAAACTACAAAATAACTTTCTGAGAAACTGTTTTGTGATGTTTGCATTCATCTCACAGTTAAACATATCTTTGCATTCAGCAGTTTGGAAACATTGTTGTTGTCTATTAATGGACATTTGGGAGCTCATTGAGGCCAAGGTGAAAATGCAAATATCCCAGGATAACAACTAGAAGGAAGTTATCTGAGAAACTGTTTTGTGGTATGTGCATTTATCTTGCAGGGTTAAACTTCCTTTTCATTCAACAGTTTGGAAACCCTGATTTTTTAGAATCTGCAAAGGGATACTTGGGAGTTCATTGAGGCCTATGGTGAAAAAGAAAACATCTTCAGATAAAAACTAGAAAGAATCTGTCTGAGAAATTGCATTGTGAGGTGTGCATTCATCTGACACTTAAATGTTTTTTTGGATTCGGCAGTTTGGAAACACTGTTTTTGTCCATTCTGCGAATGGAACCTTGGGAGCTCATTGAGGCCAATGGCAAAAAAGCAAATATCCCAGGATAAAAACTAGAAAGAAGCTCTCTGAGAAACGGCTTAGTGATGTTTGCATTCACCTCGTAAAGTTAAAATTTATTTTCATTCAGCAGTTGGGAAACACTGTTTTTGTAGAATCTGGAAAGTGATATTTGAGAGCACATTGAGGCCTATGGTGAAAAAGAAACAACTTCAGATAAAAACTGAAAGAAGTTTTCTGAGAAACTGCTTTGTGATGTGTGCATTTATCTCACAGTTAAATGTTTCTTTGGATTCAGCAGTTTGGAAACACTGTTTTTGTCTATTCTGCAAAAGGACCCTTAGGAGCTCACTGAGGCCAACAGTGAAAAAGCAAATATCCTAGAGAACAACCAGAAGAATGCTATCAGAGAAAGAGCTTTGTGATGTGTGCATTCGCATTACAGAGTTAAAATTTTGTTTTCATGCAGCATTTTGGAAACACTGACTTTGTAATATCTGCGAATGGATATTTGAGAGCACATTGACGTCTATGGTAAAAAAGGAAACAAATTCAGATAAAAACTAGAAAGAAACTTTCTGAGTAACTGCTTTGCTATGTTTGCATTCATCTCAAAGAGTTAAAGATTTCCTTCAATACAACAGTTCGGAAACACTGGTTTTGTCCATTCAACAAATGGACATTTGGGAGCTCATTGAGGCCAATGGTGAAAAAGTGCATATTCCAGGATAAAAACTAGAAGGATGCTCTCTGAGAAACTGCTTTGTGATGTGTGCATTCATCTCACAGAGTTTTAACTTTCTTTTGATTCAGCAGTTTGGAAACACTGCTTTTGTCTATTCTGCGCATGGACATTTTGGAACTCAATGAGGAAAATGGTGAAACAGCATATATCCCAGGATAAAAACTAGAAGGAAGCTATCTGAGAAACTGCTTTGTGATCTGTGCATTCATCTCGTAGACTTCAACCTTTATTTTCATTCAGCAGCTTGGAAACACTGTTTTTGTCCATTCTGCAAGTAGTCATTTTTAAGCTCATTGAGGCCAATCACAAAAAAGTGAATATCCCAGGATAAAAACTAGAAGGAAGCTATCTGAGAAACCCCTTGTGATGTGTGTTCAACTCACGTTTCTTTTCATTCAGCAGTTTGGAAACACTGTTTTTGAAGAATGTGTGAACAGATATTTGGGAGCGCATGGAGGCCTATGGTGAAAAAGAAACATCTTCCAATAAAAACTAAAAGAAGTTTTCTGTGAAACTGCTTTATGATGTGTGCATTCATCCCACAGAATGAAAACTTTATTTGGATTCAGCAGCTTGGAAACACTGTTGATGTCCAATATGCAAATGGACATTTGGGTGCTCATTGAGGCTAATGGCAAAAATGGGAATATCACGTCATAAATACTAGAAGGAAGCTATCTGAGAAATTGATTTTTGATGTGTGCATTCATCTCGCAAAGTGAAATCTTTTTTTTCACTCAGCAGTTTTGAAACAATGTTTTTGTATTATCTGTGAAGGGATATTTTGGAGTGCATTCAGGCCTATGGTGTAAAAGGAAACATCTTCAGATAAAAACTAGGAAGAAGATTTATGAGAAACTGCTTTGTGATATGTGCATTCATCACAGAGACTTATAACTAGCTTTTGATTCAGCAGTCCTGAATCACTGTTTTTGTCTATTCTGCGAATGGACATATGGGAGCTCAATGAGGAAAATTGTGAAAAAGCATATATCCAAGGATAAAAACTAGAAGGAAGCTATCTGAGAAACCGCTTTGGGATGTGTGCTTTCATCACAGAGAGTAAAACCTTTCTTTTATTTCAGCAGTTGGGAAACACTGTTTTGGAAGAATCTGTGAGGGGATTTTTGGGAGCATTTTGAGGCCCATGGTGAAAAAGGAAACATCTTCAGATAAAAAGTAGAAAGAAGCTTTATAATGAACTGCTTTGTGATGTGTGCATTCATCTCACAGAGTGAAATCTTTCTTTTCATTCAGCAGTTTGGAAACACGGTTTTGTCCTCTCTGCAAATGGATATTTGGGAGCTCCTTCAGGCTAATGGCGAAAAATGGACTATCCCAGGATAAAACTAGAAGGAAGCTATCTTAGAAACTGCTTTGTGATGCATGCATTCAACTTGCAGAGTTAACGCTTTATTTTCATAGAGTAGTTTGGAAACTGTGTTTTTGTAGAACCTGCAAAGGGACATTTCTGAGAGCTTTGAGGCCTATGGTGAAAAAAGAAACATCTTCAGATTGACACTAGAAGGAAGGTTTCTGGGGAAGTGCTTTTTGATGTGTGCATTCATCTCACAGAGTTAAAGTTTTCTTTGGATTCAGCAGTTTGGAAACACTTTTTTTGTCCATTCTGCGAGTGGACATTTGGGATCTCATTGAGGACAATGGTGAAAAAGTGAATATGCGAGGATAAAAACTAGGAGAAATAGCTCTGAGAAAATGCTTTGTGATGTGTGCATTCATCTCACAAAGTTAAACCATTCTTTTCATTCAGCAGTTTTTGAAACGTGTTTTTTGTAGAATCTGTGAAGGGCTATTTGGAAGTGCACTGAGGCTTGTGGTGAAAAAAGAAATATCTTCAAATGAAAATTAGAAATAAGCTTTCTAAGAAACTGGTTTGAGATGAGTGCTTTCATCTGACATTGGTAATCCTTTCTTTGGATTCAGAAGTTTGAAAGCACTGTTTTGCCTTTTCTATGAAGGACATTTTAGAGCTCTTAGAGGCCAATGGTGAAAAAACAGTGTCCCAGGATGAAAACTAGAAGGAAGCTGTCTGAGAAACCGCTTTGTGATGTGTGCTTTCATCTCGTGGAGTTAAAACCTTCTTTTCATTCAGCAGTTTGGAAAAACAGTTTTTGATGAATCTACAAAGGGATATTTCCTAGCAAATTGAGGCCTATGATGAAAAAGGAAACAACTTTACTTAAAAACAGGAAACAAACTTTCTGAGAAACTGCTTTGTGATGTGTCCATTCATGTCACAGAGTTCAACCTTTCTTTGGCTTCAACAGTTTGAAAACACTATTTCTGTCCATTCTGAGAATGGATATCTGGGAGCTCATTGAGGCCAATGGCAAAAATGAGAATATCCGAGGATAAAAACTAGAAGGAAGCTGTCTGAGAAACCGCTTTTATTTCATTGAGCACTGGTTTTAGTTGTCCTTGAAGAGGTCCTTCATGTCTTTGTAAGTTGGATTCCTAGGTATTTTATTCTCTTTGAAGCAATTGTGAATGGGAGTTCACTCATGATTTGGCTCTCTGTTTGTCTGTTATTGGTGTATCCAAATGCTTATGATTTTTGCACATTAATTTTGTATCCTGAGACTTAGCTGAAGTTGCTTATGAGCTTGAGGAGATTTTGGGCTGAGATGATGGGCTTTTCTAGATATACAATTATGTCATCTGCAAACGGGGACAATTGGACTTCCTCTTTTCCTAACTGAATACCATTTATTCCCTTCTCCTGCCTGATTGCCCTGGCCAGAAATTCCAACACTATGTGGAAGTGGTGAGAGAGGGCATCCCTGTCTTTTGCCAGTTTTCAAAGGGAATGCTTCCAGTTTTTGCCCATTCAGTGTGATATTGGCGGTGGACTTGTCATAAATAGCTCTTATTATTTTGAGATACGTCCCATCAACACCTAATTTATTGAGAGTTTTTAGCATGAAGTGCTGTTGAATTTTGTCAAAGGCCTTTTCTGCATCAATTGAGATAATCATTTGGTTTTTGTCATCGGTTCTGTTTATATGCTGGATTACCTTTATTGATTTGCATATGTTGAACCAGCCTTGCATCCCAGGGATGAAGCCCACTTGATCATGGTGGATAAACTTGTTGCTGTGCTGCTCAATTTGGTTTGCCAGTATTTTATTGAGGATTTTTGCATCAATATTCATCAAGGATATTGGTCTAAAATTCTCTTTTTTTTATTGTGTCTCTGCCAGACTTTGGTATCAGGGTGACGCTGACCTCATAAAATCAGTTAGGGAGGATTCCCTCTTTTTCTTTTTTTTTTTTTTTTTTTTTTTTTTTTTTTTTTTTGAGACGGAGTTTCGCTCTGTCGCCCAGGCTGGAGTGCAGTGGCGCGATCTCGACTCACTGCAAGCTCCGCCTCCCGGGTTCACGCCATTCTCCTGCCTCAGCCTCCCGTGTAGCTGGGACTACAGGCACGCGCCACCATGCCCGGCTAATTTTTGTATTTTTAGTAGAGACGGGGTTTCACCGTGTTAGCCAGGATGGTCTCGATCTCCTGACCTCGTGATCCGCCCGTCTCGGCCTCCCAAAGTGCTGGGATTACAGGCATGAGCCACCGCGCCCGGCCGGATTCCCTCTTTTTCTATTGATTGGAATACTTTCAGAAGGAATGGTACCGGCTCTCCTTGTACCTCTGGTAGAATTCGGCAGTGAATCCAGCTGCTCCTGGACTTTTTTTGTGGTAAGCTGTTAATTATTGTCTCAATTTCAGAGCATGTTATTAGTCTGTTAAGAGATTCAACTTCTTCCTGGTTTAGTCTTGGGTTGGTGTATGTGTCGAGGAATTTATCCATGTCTTCTAGATTTTCCAGTTTATCTGTTTAGAGATGTTTATAGTATTCTCTGATGGTAGTTTGTATTTCTGTGGGATCAGTGGTGATACCCCTTTATCATTTTTTATTGTGTCTATTTGATTCTTCTCTCTTTTTTTCTTTATAAGTCTTGCTAGCAGTCTATCAATATTGTTGATCTTCTCAAAAAACAAGCTCCTGGATTCATTGATTTTTTGAAGGGTTTTTTGTGTCTCTATTTCCTTCAGTTCTGCTCTGATCTTAGTTATTTCTTGCTTTCTGCTAGCTTTTGAATGTGTTTGCTCTTGCTTCTCTAGTTCTTTTTATTGCAATGTTAGGGTGTCAATTTTAGATATTTGCTACTTTCTCTTCTGGGCATTCAGTGCTATAAGTTTCCCTCTACACACTGCTTTGAATGTGTCCCAGAGGTTCTGGTATGTTGTGTCTTTGATCTCGTTGGCTTCAAAGAACATCTTTATTTCTGTCTTCATTTCATTATGTACCCAGTAGTCATTCAATGGAAGAACATTCCATGATCATGGATGAGAAGAATCAATGTCTTGAAAATGGACATACTGCCCAAGGTAATTTATAGATTCAATGCCTTCTCCATCAAGCTACCAATGACTTTCTTCACAGAATTGGAAAAAACTACTTTAAAGTTCATATGGAACCAAAAAAGATTCTGCATTGTTAAGTCAATCCTAAGCCAAAAGAAAAAATCTGGAGGCATCATGTTACCTGACTTCAAACTATACTACAAGGCTACAGTAACCAAAACAGCATGGTACTGGGACTAAAACAGAGATAGATATAGATCAATGGAACAGAAAAGAGCCCTCAGAAATAATATCACGTATCTACAACTATCTGATCTTTAACACATCTGACCAAAAGAAGAAATGGGGAAAAAATTCCCTATTTAATAAATGGTGCTGGCAAAACTGGCTAGCCATATGTAGGAAGCTGAAACTGGATCCCTTCCTTATACCTCACACAAAAATTAATGCAAGATGAATTAAAGACTTAAATGTTGGAGCTAAAGCCATAAAAACCCTAGAAGAAAAGCCAGGCAATGCCCTTCAGTACATAGGCATGGGCAAGGACTTCATGTCTAAAACACCAAAAGCAATGACAACAAAAGCTAAAATTGACAAATGGGATCTAATTAAACTAAAGAGCTTCTGCACAGCAAAAGAATCTACCATCAGCGTGAACAGGCAACCTACAGAATGGGAGAAAATTATTGCAATCTCCTCATCTGAAAAAGGACTATATCCAGAATGTAAAACGAACTATATAAATCATGCTACTATAAAGTAACAGGCACACATATGTTTACTGTGGCACTATTCACAAGAGCAAAGACTTGGAACTAACCCAAATGTCCAACAATGACAGACTGGATTAAGAAAATGTGGCACATATGCACCATGGAATACTATGCAGCCATAAAAATGATGAGTTCATTTCTTTGTAGGGACATGGGTGAAGCTGGAAACCTTCATTCTCAGCAAACTATCACAAGAACAAAAAACCAAACACTGCATGTTCTCACTCATAGGTAGGAATTGAACAATGGGAACACATGGACACAGTAAGGGGAACATCACACACCAGGGCCTGTTGCAGGGTTTGGTGAGAGGAGATAGCTTTAGAAGATATACCTAATGTTAAATGACGAGTTAATGGGTGCCGTACAACAGCATGGCACATGTATACATATGTAAAAAACCTGCATGTTGTGCACATGTACCCTAAAACTTAAAGTATAATAATTAAAAAAAGTGTTTCCAAATTGCTGAATCCAAAGCAAGGTTTAAATCTGCGAGGTGGATGCACACATCACAAAGCAGTTTCTCATAAAATTTCTTTCTAGTTTCTTTCTGAATAGGATTCCTTTTTCACCCTAGGCCTCAATTCTCTCTGAAACATCCCTTTTCAGATTCTACAAAAACAGTGTTTCCAAACTGCTCAGTGAAAGGAAAGGTTTAACTCTGTGAAATGAATGCCTACATTGCAAAGCTGTTTCTCAGATCGCTTCCTTCTAGCTTTATCCCTGGATATTCAAATTTTAGCCATTGGCCTTAAAGAGCTCCCAAATGTCCATTCACAAAATCGACAAAAAATTTTGCCAAACCACTGAATCCAAAGGAAGGTTTATTTGTGTGAGATGAATGCACACATCAAAAAGTAGTTTCTTAGCAAGTTTCTTTCTAGTTTTTATCTGAAGATGTTTCCTTTTTCACCATAGGTCTCAATGCTCTCTGAAATGTCCCTTCACAGATTCTACAAAAACAGAATTTCCAAAGAGCTGAATGAAAAGAAAGTTTTACCTCTGTGAGATGAATGCACACATCACATAGCTGTTTCTCAGATGGCTTCCTTCTAGTTTTGTCCTAGGATATTTGCTTTCTCACCATTGGCATAAATTAGCTCCCAAATGCCCATTCCCAGAATAGACAAAACCTTTGTTTCAAAATTGCTGAATCCAATGAATAGTTTATCTCTGTGAGATGAATGCACACATCACAAAGCAGTTTCTCTGAAAGTTTCTTTCTAGTTTTTATCTGAAGATGATTCCTTTTTTAACTTAAGCCTTTTTCAGTATAGGCCACAATAGTCTCCAAAATATCCCTTTGCAGTTTTTACAAAAAAACAGTGTTTCAAAACTGCTGAATGATAAGTAAGGTTTAGTTCTGTAAGATGAATGAACTCATCACAAATCCGTTTCTCAGAAGGCTTCTTTTTAGTTTTTATATGAAGACGTTTCCTTTTTCTCCATAGGTCTCAATGCACTCCCAGATACCCCTTCGCAGATCCTGCAAAAACACTGTCTCCAAATGGCTGAAGGAAAAGAATGGATTAATTCTGCTAGATGAATGCACAAATCGCAAAGACATTTCTCAGATAGCTAACTTTTAGTTTTTATCCTAGGGTAATTCACTTTTTCACCATTGGCTAAATGAGAAAAGTGTACTTTTGCAGAATGGAGTAAAAGAGTGTCTCCAAACTGCTGAATTCAAACAAAGTTTTAACCCTGTGAGATGAACACACACGTCACAAAGCAGTTTTTCAAAAGACTTATTTCTAAATTTTATCTGAAGATGTTTCCTATTTCAACGTAGGCCTCAATGATCTCCGAAATATCCCTTTCCAGATTCTATAAAAACAGTGTTTGCAAACTGCTGAATGAAAAGAAAGGTTTAACTCTGTGAGATGAATGCACACATCACACAACTGTTTCTCAGATAGCTTCCTTCCAGTTTTTCACCTGGTCTATTCAATTTTTCACCATTGGCCTCAATGAGGTCCCAAAAGTCCTTCCACAGAATGAAGAAAAACAGTGTTTCCAAACTACTAAATTCAAAGAAAGTTTTGAGTCTGTGAGATGAAATCACACATCACAAAGCAGTTTCTCAGAAAGTTTCTTGATAGTTTTTTTCTGAAGATGTTTAATTTTTTACCATAGACCTCAATGCTCTCCAAAGTATCCCTTTGCATATTGTACAAAAACAGTGCTTCCAAACTGCTGAATGAAAAGAAAGGTTTAACTCTACAAGATGTATGCACCCATCACATAACTGTTTCTCAGATAACTTCCTTCTAGTTTTTATCCTGGGATATTTGCTTTCTGGTCATTGGCCTCAATGAGCTCTGAAATGTCCACTGGCAGAATCGACAAACACAGTATTTCAAAACTGCTGAATCCAAAGAAAGGTTTACTTGTGTAAGCTGAAGGCAGACATCACAAAAATTTCTCAGAAAGCTTCTTTCTAGTTTTTATCTGAAGATGTTTTCTTTTTCACCATTGGCCTCAATGCTCTCTGAAATATCCCATTGCAGATTCTATAAAAACAGTGCTGCAAAACTGCTGAACCCACAGAACAGTTTAACTGTGAGATAAATGCACACATCACAAAGCAGTTTCTCAGAAAGATTCTTTCTACTTTTATTCTAAAGATGTTTCCTTTTTCACCATAGGTCTCAATGCACTCCCAAATATCCCTTCGCAGATTCTACAGAAACAGTAATTCCAAACTGTTGAATGAAAAGAAAGGCTTATCTCTGTGAGATGAACGCACAAAATCACAAAGCAGTTTATCAGATACCTTACTTCTAGTTTTTATCGTAGGGTAATTCACTTTTTTGCCATTGGCTTCAATGAGCTCCCAAATATCCATTTGCAGAATGGACAAAAACTGTTTCCAAACTGCTGAATCCAAAGAAAGCTTTAACTCTGTGAGGTGAATGCGCACATTACAAAGCAGTTTTCAGAAAATTTCTTTCTAGTTTTTATCTGAAGATGTTTCCTTCTTCACCTTAGGCCTGAATGCTCTCCCATACATCAATTTACTGATTCTACAAAAACAGTGTTTTCAAGCTGCTGAATGAAAAGAATGGTTTAACTCTGTGAGATGAATGCAAACATCATATAACAGTTTCTCAGAGATCTTCACTCTGCTTTTATCCTGGGATATTCTCTTTTTCACCACTGTTCCCAATGAGCTCCCACATGTCCATTCGTAGAATGGACAAAAACACTCTTTCCCAACTACTGAATATAAAGAAAGGTTTAACTCTGTGAGATGAATGCCAACACCACAAAGCAGTTTCTCACAGCTTCTTTCCAGTTTATATCTGAACGTGATTCCTATTTCACCATAGGGCTCAATGCTCTCCTAAATATCCCTTTGCATATTCTACAAAAACAGTGTTTCCAAAGTTCGGAATGAAAAGAAAGGTTTAACTCTGTGAGATGAATACACACATCAAAAACTGGCTTCTCAGATAGCCTCCTTCTGGTTTTTATCCTGGGATATTTGCTTTTTCATCATTGGCCCCATGAACTCCCAAGTGTCCATTCACAGAATGGACAAAAACACTCTTTCCAAACTACTTAATGCAAAGGATGTTTTTAAATCTCTGAGAAGAATGCACACATAACAAAGCAGGTTCTCAGAAAGTTTTTTTCTGGTTTTCATTTTAAGATGTTTCCTATTTCACTGAAGGCCTCAATGCTCTCCAAAATATCCTTTTGCAGATTCTACAAAAATAGAGTTTTTAAATTGCTGAATGAAGAGAAAGGTTTAACTCTTCAAGATGAATGCCCACATCACACAGCAGTTTCTCACATAGCTTCTTTCTAGTTATTCTGCTGTGATATTTGCTTTTTTGCCATTGACCTCAATGAGCTAAAAAATGTCCATTCTCAGAATCCAAAGAAAAATTTGCTCTGTGAGATAAATGCACACATCACAACGCAGTTTCTCAGAAAGCTTACTTCTAGTTTTTATCTTAGGATGTTTCCTTTTTACCATAGGTCTCAAGGGTCTCTGAAATATCCCTTTGCAAACTCTGCATAAAAACAGTTTCCAAATTGCTAAATCCAAAGAATGGTTTGTGTCTGTGAGATGAATGCACACATCACAAAGTAGTTTCTGAGAAAGCTGCTTTTTAGTTTTTATCTGATAATATTTCTTTTTTATACCATAGTTCACAATGTTCTCCAAAATATCCCTTTACAGATTACATAAAAACAGTGGTTCCAAACTGCTGAATGAAAAGAAATGTATAAATTGAGATGAATGCACACATCAAAAGCTGTTTCTCAGTTAGCTTCCTTCTAGTTTTTATCCTGGGATGTTCACTTTTTCACCATTGGCCTTAATGAGCTCGCAAATGTCCATTCTCAGTATGGACAAAAACCCCATTTCGAAACTCTGGAATCCAAAGAAAGGTTTGACTCTGTGAGATGAATGCATGCATCACAAAGCAGTTTCTCAGAAAGCTTCTTTCTAGTTTTTATCTGAAGATGTTTCCTTTTTTACCATAGGCCTCAATGCTCTCTGAAATATTGCTTTGCAGTATTTTAAAATTGCAATAATATTGTTAAAAAAAAGTGTTTACACACTGCTGAATGGAAAGGAATATTTAAGTCTGTGAGATGAATGCACACTTCAGAAAGCGGTTTCTCCAAAAGCTTCTTTCTAGTTTTTATCTGAAGAAGTTTCCTTTTCCACCATGGGCCTTAATGCTCTTTGAAATATCCCTTTTCAGATTCTACAAAGCAGTGTTTCCAAACTGCTGAATCCAAAGAAAGTTTTACCTCTGTGAGATGAATGCGCACATCACTAAGCATTTTCTCTGATAGCTGCTTTCTGGTTTTTGTCTGAAGATGTTTCCTTTTTCACCATAGGCCTCAGTGATTTTGGAAATATCCCTCTTCAGATTCTACAAAAACAGCATTTCCAAACTGCTGAATGCAAAGAAAGGTTAAACTCTGTGAGATGAATGCACACATCACAAAGCAGTTTCTCTGAAAGCTTCTTTCAAGTGTTTACCTGAAGATGTTTCCTTTTTCACCATGAGCCTCAATTCTCTCCAAAATATCCCTTTACAGATTCTACCAAAACTGTGTTTAAAAACTGCTCAATGAAAGGAAAGGTTTAACTCTGTGAGAGGAATGCATACATCACATAGCGGTTTCTCAGATAGCTTCCATCTGGTTTTTATCATGGGATATTTGATTTTCCACATTGGTCTCAAAAAGCTCCCACATGTCCATTCACGGAATGGAAAAAACAGTCTTTCCAAACTACTGAATGCAAAGAAAGTTTTAAGTCTGTGAGACAAATGCACACATCACAAATAAGTTTCTAAGAAAATTTCTTTCTAGTTTTTTTCTCAAGATGTAACCTTTTACACCGTAGGCCTCAATGCTCTCCAAATATCACTTTGCAGATTCTACAAAAACAGTGTTTCTAAATGTCTGAATGAAAAAAAGTTTAACTCTGTGGGATAAATGCACACATCGCATAGTAGTTTCTCAGATAGCTTCTGTCTAGTTTTTATCCTGGGATATTCAGTATTCCATTATTGGCCACAATGAGGTCCAAAATGTCCATTCGCAGAATGGACAAAACACTCTATCCAAATTCCTGAATCCAAAGTCATCTCTGTGGGATGAATGTGCACATCACAAAGCAGTTTCTCAGAAAGCTTCTTTCTTGTTTTCATCTGAAGGTGTTTCCTTTTTTACCTTAGGCTTCAATGATCTGCGAAATATCCCTATGCAGTTTCTAAAAAAACAGACTTGCCAAATTGCTGAATGAAAATAAAGGTTTAACTCTGTGAGATGAATGCACACATCACAAATTGGTTTCTCAGATAGCTTCCTTATAGTTTTTATCCTGGGATATTAACTTTTTCACCATTGGCCTAATGAGCTCCAAAATGTCCATTTGCAGAATGGACAAAAATGTGTTTCCAAACTATTGAACCTGAAGACAGGTTTAAATCTGTGTGATGAATTCACACATCACAAAGTACTTTCTCAGATACCTTCAGTCTAATTTTTATCCTGGGATATTCACTTTTTTGCCATTGGCCTCAATGAGCCCCAAAATGAGCATTCACAGAATGGAAAAAAACACTGTTTCTTAACTAGTGAATTCAAATAACTGTTTAATTCTGTAAGACGAATGCAAACTTCCACAGCAGCTTCTCCTAAATCCTCTTACTAATTTTTACTGAACACGTTTCCTTTTTTTCACCATATGCCTCCATGCTCTCTGAAGTTTCCCTTTGCATATTCTACAAAAGCAGTGTTCCCACACTGGTGAATGAAAAGGATGGTTTAACTCTGTGAGATGAATTCACACATCACATAGCAGTTTCTCAGGTATCTTCCTTCTAGATTTTAACCTGGGATATTCTCTTTTTTGCCATTGACCTCAATGAGCTTCCAAATGTCCATTGGCAGAATGGACAAAAACACTCTTTCTGAACTACTGAATCCAAAGAAAGTTTTTTAAGTCTGTGAGATGTATGCACACATCACAAAGCATTTTCTCAGAAATCTTCCTAGTTTTTTTTCTGAAGATACTTCCTTTTTCACCATAGGCATCAGTGCTCTCCAAAATATACCCTTTCAGATTCTACAAAAACAGAGTTTTGAAACTGCTGAATCCAAAGGAAGGTTGAATTCTGTAAGATGAATGCTCTCAACACAAAGCAGCTTCTCAGAAAACTTATTTCTATTTTTTATCTGAAGATGTTTCCTTTTTCACTATAGGCCTCAAGGCGCTTTGAAATGTCCCCTTACAGATTCTACAAAAACCGTGTTTCCAAACTGTTAAATTAAATCAATGGTTTAACTCAGTGAGATGAATGCCCACATCATGTAGTAGTTTATCAGATAGATTCCATCTGCTTTGTATCCTGGAATATTCACTTTTTCCCCGTTGGCTTCAATGTGCTCAAAATGTCCATTCACAGAATGGACAAAAACAGTGTTTCCAAACTGCTGAATCCAAAGAAAGGTTCAACTCTGTAAGATGAATGCACACATCACAAAGCAGTTTCTCAGAATGCTTCTTTCTAGTATTTACCTGAAGATGTTTCCATTTTCACCATAGGCCTCATTGATCTCTGAAATATCCCTTTGCAGATTCTACAAAAGCAGTGTTTCCAAAATGAGGAATGAAAAGAAAGGTTTAACTGTGCAAGATGAATGAACACATTACATAGCACTTTCACAGATAGCTTCCATCTAGTGGTTATCACGGGATGCTCACTTTTTTGCCTTTGGCCTCAATGAGCTTTCAAATGTCCATTCATAGAATGGACAAAAACACTTTTTCCAAACTACTGAATCCAAAGAAATGTTTAACTCTGTGAGATGAACGCAAACATCCAAAACAGTTTCTCAGAAATCTTCTTTCTGATTTTTACTGAACATTTTTCCTTTTTCAGCATAGGCCTAAATGCTCTCTGAAATATCCCTTTGCAGATTCTACAAAAACTGTGTTTCCAAACTGCTGAATGAAAAGAATGGCTTCACTGTCTGAGGTGAATGCACACATCCATAGCAGTTTCTCATATAGTTTCCGTCTAGATTTTACCTGGGATTTTCACTTTTTCCCCATTGGCCTCAATGAGGACTCCAATATCCATTTGCAGAATGAACAAAAACACTCTTTCCAAACTACTGAATCCAAAGAAAATTCTAACTCTGTGAGATGAATGCTCACATCACAAAGCAGTTTCTCAGAAAGCTTCTTTCTAGTTTTTATCTGAAGATGTTTCCTTTTTCACCATATGTCTCAATGCACTAGGAAATATCCCTTTGCAGATTCTACAAAAACGTGTTTCAAAACTGTAGAAAGTAAAGAAAGTTTTAACTCTGTGAGATGAATGTACACATCACGTAATAGTTTCTTAGATAATGTCTGCCTAGATTTTATCCTGGGATATTCGCTTTTTCACCATTGTACTCAATAAGCTCCAAAATGTCCATTTGTAGAATGGAAAAAAAACACTCGTTGCAAACTGTTGAGTCCAAAGAAAGGTTTAACTCTGTGAGATGAATGCACACATCACCAAGAAGTTTCTCAGATAGTTTCCTTCTAGTTTTTATCCTAGGATATTCTATTTTTTTGCCATTGGCCTCAAAGAGCCACAAAAGGTCCATTTGTAGAATGGACAAAAATAGTGTTTCCAAACTGAGGAATCCAAATAAATGTTTAAGTCTGGGAGATGAATGCATATATCCCAAAGCAAGTTCTCAGAAAGCTTCTTTCTACTTTTTAAATGAAGGTGTTTCTGTTTCCACTGTAGGCCTGACTGCTCTCTAAAATACCCCTTTGAAGATTCTTCAGAATACTCTTTCCAAACTTCTGAATCCAAAGAAAGTTTTAACTCTGTGAGATGAATGCACACATAACAAAGCAGTTTCTCTGAAAACTTCTTTGTAGTTTTTAACTGAATATGTTTCCTTTTTCACCATAGGCCTCAATGCTGTGTGAAATATCCCTTTGCAGATTTCTTGACATTGGAATCAATGAGCTCCCAAACGTCCATTTGCAGAATGGACAAAACCGTATTTCCAAATGGCTGATTCCAAAGAAATGTTTAACTCAGTAAATGAATGTACACATCACAAAGCAGTTTCTCTGAAACCTTCTGTTTAATTTTTATCGGAAGAAAATTCCTTTTTCACCATTTGCCTTAGGGCACTCAAATTTACCCCTTAGCAGATCCTACAAAAACAGTATTTCCAAACTGCTCAAAGAAAAAAAAAAAGTTTAACACTGTGGGATGAATGCAAATATCACAAAACAGTTTCTCAAAATGCTTCTTTCTTGTTTTTATCTGAAAATGTTTCCTTTTTCACCATAGGCCTCAACACGATCCCAAAGAGCCCTTCACAGATTCCACTAAATCAGAGTTTTGAAACTGTTGAATGAAAACAAAGGTTTAACTCTGTGAGATGAATGAACACATCACAAAGCAATTTCTCAGATAATTTCTTTCTAGTTTTTATCTTGGGATATTTCCTTTTTCGCCATTGGCCTCAATGAGCTCCCAAATATCCATTCACAGAATGGACAAAAACAGTGTTGCCAAACTACTGAATCCAAAGAAATGTTTAAGTCTGGATATGAACGCACACATCACAAAGCACTTTCCACATAAGCTTCTTTCTAGTATTTTTCTGAAGATGTTTGCTTTTTCATCATAGGCTTCAATGATCTCCAAAATATCCCTTTGCAGATTCTACAAAAACAATGTTTCCAAACTACTGAATCTAAAGAAAGTTTTACCACTGTGAGATGAATGCACATATCACAAAGCCATTTTTCAGAAAGCTTCTTTCTAGTTTTAATCTGAATATGCATCCTTTTTCACTATAAGCCTCAATGCTCCCTGAAATACCCTTCCGAGATCCTACAAAAACAGTGTTTCAAAACTGCTGAATGAAAAGAAAGGTTTAACCCTGTGAGATGAATGCACACATCTCAAATCCATTTCTGAGATAGTTTCCATCAACTTTTTGTCCTAGGTTATTTGCTTTTTCACAATTGGCCTCAAGGAGCTCCCAAATGTCCATTTGAAGAATGGACAAAAACAGTTTTTCCAAACTGCTGAATCCAAAGAATAGTTTAACCCTATGAGATGTATGAACAAATCAAAAAGCAATTTTTCAGAAAGCTTCTTTCTAGTATTTAGCTGAATATGTTTCCTTTTTCACCATAGGCCTCAAGGATCTCTGAAAAATCCCCCTGCAGATTCTACAAAAACAGGGTTTCCAAACTGCTGAATAACAGGAAGGTTTAATTCTGAGAGATGAATGCACACTTCACATAGCAATTTCTCAGATAGCTTCTGTCTAGTTTTTATCCTGGGATATTCGCTTTTTCACCATTTCCCAAAATGAACTCCCAAATGTCCATTTGCAGAATGGACAAAAACACTCTTTCCCAACTACTGAATCCAAAGAAAGGTACAAGTCAGTGACATGTATGCACAAATCACAAAGCAGTGTCTCAGAATATTTCTTTTTGGTTTTTATCTGAATATGTTTCCTTTTTCATCATAGGCCTCAATGGTCTCCAAAATATCCTCTGCAGATTCTACAAAAACAGTGTTTCCAAACTGCCGAATGAAAAGGGAGGTTTATCTCTATGAGATGAATGCACACATCATGTAACTGTTTCTCAGATTGCTTCCATCTAATTTTTATCCTTGGATATTTCCTTTTTCGCCATTGGCCTCTATGAATTCCCTAATGTCCATTTGCAGAATAGACAAAAACAGTGTTTCCAAACTGCTGAATCCAAAGAAAGGTTTAACTCTGTGGGATGAATGCTAACATCACAAAGCAGTTTCTCAGAAAGATTTTTCTAGTTTTTGTCTGAAGATGTATCCTTTTTCACCAAAGGTCTCAATGCTCTCCAAAATATCACTTTTTAGATTCCACAAAAGCAGTGTTTCCAAACTGCTGAATGAAAAGAAAGTTTTAACTCTGCAATATGAATGCACACATCACGTAGCAGTTTCTCAGATAGCTTACTTCTCGTTTACCTCCTGAGATATTCAACTTTTTCGCCACTGACCTCAATGAGCTCCCACATGTTCATTCGCAGAATGGATAAAAACAGTGTTTTAAAACTACAGAATCCAAAGAAGGTTTTAATTTTGTGAGATGAATGCAAACATCACAAAGCCATTTCTCAGAAAGCTTCTTTCTAGTTTTCTTCTGAAGATGTTTCCTTTTTCACCATAGGCCTCAAGGTTCTCTGAAATATCATTTTGCAGATTCTCCAAAAATAATGCCTCCAAACTGCTGAATCCAAAGAAAGTTTTACCTGTCTGAGATGAAAGCACACATCATAAAGCCATTTCTCAGAAAGCTTCTTTCTAATTTTCATCTGAAGATGTTTCCTTATTCACCATAGGCCTCAATGCTCTCTCAAATAGCCCTTTGCAGATTCTACAAAAACAGTGCCTCCAAACTGCTGAATGAAAAGAAAGGTTTAACTCTGCTAGATGAATGCCCTCATCGCATACCAACTTCTCAGATAGCTTCTGTCTAATTTTTATCCCGGGATACTAGCTTTTTCCCCTTTGGCCTCAATGAGCATCTTAATATCCATTTGCACAATGGACAAAAACAGTGTTTCCAAACTGCTGAAGGAAAACACAGTTTTAACACGTTGAGATGAATGCACACATCCCAAAGCAGTATCTCAGATAGCTTCCTTCAAATTTTTATCCTGGGATATCTGCTTTTCCACCATTGGCCTCAATGAGCTCCCAAGTATCCTTTTGCAGAATGGGCAAAAAAAGTGTTTCCAAACTGCTGAATCCAAACAAAGTTTTTTCGCAGTGAGATGAATGAATGCAGAAATCATGAAGCAGTTTCTCAGAAAGCTTCTTTCTAGTTTTTATCTGAAGATGTTTGAATTTTTCACCATATTCCCCAATGCTCTCTGAAATATCCCTTTGCACATTCTATGAACACAGTGTTTCCAAACTTCTGAATGAAAGATAAGTTTAACTCTGATAGGAAAATGCACACATCATATAGCAGTTTCTCAGATGCTTCCTTCTCGTTTTTAAACTGGGATATTCACTTTATCGCCATTGGCCTCAATGAGCTCCCAAATATACATTCACAGAATGGGCAAAAACAGTTTCCAAACTTCTGAATCCAAAGAATGGTTTAACTCTGTGAGATGAATCCACACATCACAAAGCAGTTTCTCAGAAAGCTTCCTTCTAGTTTTTATCTGAAGATGTTTCCTAGTTCACCATAGCCCTCAATGTTATCCAAAATATCCCTTTGTGGATTCTACAAAAACAGTGTTTACAAACTGCTGAATGAAAAGAAAGTTTTAACTCTGTGAGATGAATGCACACATAAAAATGTGGCTTCTGAGATAGCTTCCTTCCTGTTTTTATCCTTTGATATTTGCTTTTTCACCATTGGCCTCAATGAGCTCCAAAATGTCCATTCCCAGAATGAACAAAAACAGTGTTTTCAAATGGCTAAATCCAAAGAAAGGTTTAACTATGTGAGATGAATGCACACATCACAAAGCAGTTTCTCAGAAAGCTTCTTTCTAATTTTTATTTGAAGATATTTTCCTTTTTGAAAATAGGCCTCAGTTCTCCCCAAAATATCCCTATACAGATTCTACAAAAACAATGTTTCAAACTTGATGAAAGAAAAAAGGGGTTGAACTCTGCAAGATGAATACACACATCACATCGCAGTTTCTCAGAAAGCTTCTGTTTAGTTTTTATCCTGGGATATTTGCTTTTTTGCCATTGGCCTCAAGGAGCTACAAAATGTCCATTCACAGAATGGACAAAAAAAGTGTTTCCAAATTGCTGGATGGAAAGAAAACTATAACTCTGTGAGATGAATGCACACATCACAATGCGGTTTCTCAGATAGCTTCCTTCTGGTTTTTATCCTGGGATATTCACTTTTTCAACTTTGGCCTCAAGGTGCTCTGAAATGATGACTCCGTGAATGGAAAAAAACAACGTTTCCAAACTACGGAACCCAAAGAAAGGATAAAGCCTTTGAGATTAATGCACACACCACAAAACAGTTTCTCAGAAAGCTCCTTTCTAGTGTTTCTCTAAAGATGTTTCCTTTTATGACATAGGCCTCAATACTCTCTGATATATCACTTTGCACATTCTGCAAAAACAGTGTCTCCAAATAGTTGAATCCAAAGAAAGTATTAACTCTGTGAGATGAATGGAGACACCACAAAGCAGTTTGTAAGAAAGCTTCTTTCCAGTTTTTATATGAAGATGTTTCCTATTTCACCATAGGCCTCAATGTTTTCCAAAATATTCTTTGCTGATACTACAAAAATAGTGTTTCCAAACTGCTGAATGAAAAGAAAGGTTTAACTCTGTGAGATGAATGCACCCAACTATTGCAGTTTCTCAGCTAGCTTCCACCTAGTTTTTATCCTGGGATATTCAGTTTTTCGCCATTGGCCTCAATGAGCTCCCAAATGCCCACTTAAATAATCAACGAAAGCACTCTTTGCAAACTACTGAATCTAAGGAAAGGTTTAACTCTGTGATGTGAATGCACACAACATAAAATAGTTTCTCTGAAAGCTCCCTTCCTGTTTTCACCTGAAGGTGGTTCCAATTTCACCACAGGGCTCAATGCTCTCTGTAAAGTCCCTTGCAGATTCAACAAAAAGAGTGTTTCCAAACTGCTGTGTGAAAAGCTTGCTTTAACTCTGTGAGATGAATGCATACATCATGTAGCAATTTCTCAGATAGCTTCCTTCTAGTATTTATCCTGGCATATCAGCTTTTTCAACATTGGCCGCATTGAGATCCCAAATTTCCATTTACAGAATGGACAGAAAAAGTATTTCCAACTACTGAATCCAAAGAAAAGTTTAAGTCTGTGATATGAATGCGCACATCACAAAGCAGTTTCTCAGAAAGCTTCTCTCTAGTTTTCGTCTGAAGCTGTTTCCTATTGCAACATATGTCTCAATGATGTCCAAAATATCCCTTTGCCGATTCTACAAAAACAGTGTTTCCAAACTTCTGAATGAAAAGAAAGTTTTAACTCTGTGAGATGAAAGCACACATCACAAAGCGGTTTCTCAGATAGCTTCCTTCTAGTTTTTATCCTGGGACATTCGCTTTTTTGCCATTGGCCTCAATAAGCTCCCAAATATACATTCACAGAATGGATAAAAACAGTTTTTCCAAACTGAATCTAAAGAAAGTTTTTTTTTTGTTCTTTTTAATATTATTATACTTTAAGTTTTAGGGTACATGTGCACAATGTGCAGGTTAGTTACATACGTATACATGTGCCATGCTGGTGCGCTGCACCCACTAACTCGTCATCGAGCATTAGGTTTATCTCCCAATGCTATCCCTCCCCCCTCCCCCCACCCCACAACAGTCCCCAGAGTGTGATGTTCCCCTTCCTGTGTCCATGTGTTCTCATTGTTGAATTCACACCTATGAGTGAGAATATGCAGTGTTTGGTTTTTTGTTCTTGTGATAGTTTACTGAGAATGGTGATTTCCAGTTTCATCCATGTGCCTACAAGGGACATGAACTCATCATTTTTTATGGCTGCATAGTATTCCATGGTGTATATTGCCACATATTCTTAATCCAGTCTATCATTGTTGGACATTTGGGTGGGTTCCAAGTCTTTGCTATTGTGAATAGTGCCACAGTAAACATACATGTGCATGTGCCTTTATAGCAGAATGATTTATAAACCTTTGGGTATATACCCGGTAATGGGATGGCTGGGTCAAATGGTAATTCTAGTTCTAGATCCCTGAGGAATGGCCACACTGACTTCCATAATGGTTGGACTAGTTTACTGTCCCACCAACAGTGTAAAAGTATTCCTTTTTCTCCACATCCTCTCCAGCACCTGTTGTTTCCTGACTTTTTAATGATCGCCATTCTAACTGGTGTGAGATGGTATCTCATTGTGGTTTTGATTTGCATTTCTCTGATGGCCAGTGATGGTGAGCATTTTCTCACGTCTTTTTTGGCTGCATAAATGTCTTCTTTTGAGAAGTGTCTGTTCATGTCCTTCACCCACTTTCTGATGGGGTTGTTTGGTTTTATCTTGTAAATTTGTTTGAGATCATTGTAGATTCTGGATATTAGCCCTTTGGCAGATGAGTAGGTTGTGAAAATTTTCTCCCACTTTGTGGGTTGCCTGTTCATTCTGATGGTAGTTTCTTTTGCTGTGCAGAAGCTCTTTAGTTTAATTAGATCCCATTTGTCAATTTTGGCTTTTGTTGCCATTGCTTTTGGTGTTTTAAACATGAAGTCTTGCTCATGCCTGTGTCCTGAATGGTAATGCCTAGGTTTTCTTCTAGGGTTTTTATGGCTTTCAGTCTAATGTTTAAGTCTTTAATCCATCTTGAATTATTTTTTGTATAAGGTGTAAGGCAGGGATCCAGTTTCAGCTTTCTACATATGGCTAGCCAGTTTTCCCAGCACCATTTATTAAATAAGGGATCCTTTCCCCATTGCTTGTTTTTCTCAGGTTTGTCAAACATCAGATAGTTGTAGATATGCGGCGTTATTTCTGAGGGTTGTGTTCTGTTCCATTGATCTGTATCTCTGTTTTGGTACCAGTACCATGCTGTTTTGGTTGCTGTAGCCTTGTAGTATAGTTTGAAGTCAGGTAGTGTGATGCCTCCAGCTTTGTTCTTTTGGCTCAGGATTGACTTGACGATGTGGGCTCTTTTTTGGTTCCATGTGAACTTTAAAGTAGTTTTTTTTCCAATTCTGTGAAGAAAGGCATTGGTAGCTTGATGGGGATGGCACTGAATCTGTAAATTACCTTGGGCAGTATGGCCATTTTCACGATATTGATTCTTCCTACCCATGAGCTTGGAATGTTCTTCCATTTGTTTGTATCCTCTTTTATTTCCTTGAGCAGTGGTTTGTAGTTCTCCTTGAAGAGGTCCTTCACATCCCTTGTAAGTTGGATTCCTAGGTATTTTTTTCTCTTTGAAGCAATTGTGAATGGGAGTTCACTCATGATTTGGCTCTCTGTTTGTCTGTTGTTGGTGTATGAGAATGCTTGTGATTTTTGTACATTGATTTTGTATCCTGAGACTTTGCTGGAGTTGCTTATCAGCTTAAGGAGATTTTGCGCTGAGACAACGGGGTTTTCTAGATATACAATCATGTCATTTGCAAGCAGGGACAATTTGACTTCCTCTTTTCCTAATTGAATAGCCTTCCTTTCCTTCTCCTGCCTAATTGCCCTGGCCAGAACTTCCAACATTATGTTGAATAGGAGTGGTGAAAGAAGGCATCCCTGTCTTGTGCAGTTTTCAAAGGGAATGCTTCCAATTTTTGCCCATTCAGTATGATATTGGCTGTGGGCTTGTCATAGATAGCTTTTATTATTTTCAGATATGTCCCATCAATACCTAATTTATTGAGAGTTTTTAGCATGAAGCGTTGTTGAATTTTGTCAGAGGCCTTTTCTGCATCTATTGAGATAATCATGTGGTTTTTGTCTTTGGTTCTGTTTATATGCTGGATTACATTTACTGATTTGTGTATATTGAACCAGCCTTGCATCCCAGGGATGAAGCCCACTTGACCATGGTGGATAAGCTTTATGATGTGCTGCTTGATTCAGTTTGCCAGTATTTTATTGAGGATTTTTGCATCAATGTTCATCAAGGATATTGGTCTAAAATTCTCTTTTTTTGTTGTGTCTCTGCCAGCCTTTGGTGTCAGGATGATGCTGGCCTCATAAACTGAGTTAGGGAGGATTCCCTCTTTTTCTATTGATTGGAATAATTTCAGAAGGAATGGTACCAGTTCCTCCTTGTACCTCCGGTAGAATTCTGCTGTGAATCCATCTGGTCCTGGACTCTTTTTCGGTGGTAAGCTATTGATTATTGCCACAATTTCAGCTCCTGCTATTGGTCTATTCAGAGACTCAACTTCTTCCTGGTTTAGTCTTGGGAAAGTGTATGTGTCGAGTAATTTATCCATTTCTTCTAGATTTTCTAGTTTATTTGCATAGAGGTGTTTGTAGTATTCTCTGATGGTAGTTTGTATTTCTGTGGGATTGGTGGTGATATCCCCTTTATCATTTTTATTGCACCTATTGCTTCTTCTCTCTTTTTTTCTTTATTAGTCTTGCTAGCAGTCTGTCAATTTTGTTGATCCTTTAAAAAAACCAGCTCCTGGATTCGTTTTTTAAGGGTTTTTTTGTATCTCTATTTCCTTCAGTTCTGCTCTGATTTTAGTTATTTCTTGCCTTCTGCTAGCTTTTGAAAGAGACTTTAACACACCACTGTCAACATTAGACAGATTGACAAGACAGAAAGTCAACAAGTATACCCAGGAATTGAACTCAGCTCTGCAACAAGCGGACCTAATAGACATCTACAGAACTCTCCACCCCAAATCAAGAGATTATACATTTTTTTCAGCACCACACCACACCTATTCCAAAATTGATCACATACTTGGAAGTAAAGATCTCCTCAGCAAATGTAAAATAACAGAAATTATAACAAACTATCTCTCAGAACACAGTGCAATCAAACTAGAACTCAGGATTAAGAATCTCACTCAAAACCTCTCAACTACATGGAAAATGAACAACCTGCTCCTGAATGACTACTGGGTACATAACTAAATGAAGGCAGAAATAAAGATGTTCTTTGAAACCAATGAGAACAAAGACACAACATACAGAATCTCTGGAACGCATTTAAAGCAGTGTGCAGAGGGAAATTTATAGCACTAAATGCCCACAAGAGAAAGCAGGAAAGATCCAAAATTGACACCCTAACATCACAGTTAAAAGAACTAGAAAAGCAAGAAGAAAGTTTTAATTCTTTGAGATGAATGTACCCATCACAAAGTGATTTCTCAGATGTGTTCTTTCTAGTTTTTATCCTCTGATATTCACTTTATCACCATTGACTTCTTAGAGCTCATAAATGTACATTGAAGAATGGACAAAAGCAGTGTTTCCAAACGGCTGAATCCAAAGAAAGTTTTAACTCTGTGAGATGAATGAAAACATCACAAAGCAGTTTCTCAGATAGCTTCCTTCCTGTTTTTTTCCTGGTATATTTTCTTTTTTGCCATTGGACTCAATGAGCTCCCAACTTTCCATTTGCACAATGGACAAATACAGTGTTTGCAAACTGCTGAACTGAAAGAAAGTTTAACTCTTTCAGATGAATGCACACATCACAAAGCAGTTTCTTAGAAAGTTTCTTTCTAGATTTTATCTGAAGATGATTCTTTTTCACTGTAGGCCTCAATGCTCTCTGAAATATCTGTTTGCACATTGGCAAAAACAGTGTTTCCAAACTGCTTAGTGTAAAGTAAGGTTTAACTCTGTGAGAGGGAAGCACGCATCACATAGCAGTTTCTCAGATAGCTTTCATCCAGTTTTTATCCTTGGATATTCACTTCTTCACATTGACCTGAATGAGCTCCCAAAAGTCCATTTGCAGAATGGACAAAAACACTCTTTTGAAACTACTGAAAACAAAGAAATATTTAACTCTGTGAGATGAGTGCACACATAACAAAGAAGTTTCAAAGAAATCTTCTTTCTAGTTTTTATCTGAATGTGTTTCTTTTCTCACCATAGGTCTCACTGTCCTCCAAAATACATCTTTGCAGATTCTACAGAAACAGTGTTTCCAAACTGCTGAATTAAAAGAATGGTTTAACACTGTGAGATGAATGCACACATCACAAAACATTTTCCCAGATAACCTCCTTCTAGGTTTTATCTGGGGATATACGTTTTTTCATCACTGGCCACCATGAGCTCCCAAATGTTCATTCGCACAATGGACAAAAGCAGTGTTTCCAAACTGTTGAATCTAAAGAAAGTTTAACTCTGTGAGATGAAAACACACCTCAAAAAGCAGTTTCTAAGAAACCTTCTTTCTAATTTTCATCTGAATATGTTTCCTCTTCCACCATAGGCCTCAATGCTCTCGGAAATATCCCTTTGCAGTTTCTACAAAAACAGTGTTTCCAAACTTCTGAATGAAAGGTTTAACTCTGCTAGATGAATGCCTACATCACAAAGAAGTTTCTAAGATAGCTTCTGTCTAGTTTTGGTCCTGGCATATTCACATTTTCTCCTTGGCCTCTATGAACTTCCAAATTTCCATTCACTGAATGGACAAAAATAATCTTTAGAAACTGCAAAATCCAAGGAAAAGTTTAACTCTGTGAGAGGAATGCACACGTCACGAAGCAGTTATTCAGAAAGCTTCTTTCTAGTTTTTATCTGAAGTTGTTCCCTTTTACACCATAGGCCTCAATGCTCTTGGAAATTTCCCTTTCTAGATTATACAAGAAAGTGTTTCAAAACTGCTGAATGAAAACTATGTTTTAACTCTGCAAGATGAATTCAACCATCACATAGCAGAACTCAGATAGTTTCCATCGGTTTTTTATCCTCGGATATTCACTTTTTTCCCATTGGCCTAAATGAACTCCCAAATGTAGCGGACGAAAATAGTGTTTCCAAACAGCTGAATCCAAAGAAAGGTTTAACTCTATGAGAGGAATGCAAACATCACAAAGCAGCTTCTCAGATATCTTCTTTCTAGCTTTTATCTGAAGATATTTCTTTTTTCACACTAGGCCTCAATGCTCTCCAAAATATCCCTTTGCAGATTCTATAAAAACAGTGTTTACAAACCGCTGGATGAAAGGAAAAATTTAACTCTGTGAAATGAATGCACACATCACAAAGAGGTTTCTCAAAGAGCCTCCATCTAGTTTTTATCCTGGGATATTCCCTTTTTTTGCCAGTGGCCTCAATGAGCTCCCAAATGTCCATTCACAGAATGGACAAAAATGGTGCTTCTAAACTACTGAATCCAAAGAAAGTTTTAAGTCTGTGAGGTGAATGCATACATCAGAAAGCATTTTCTCAGAAACTTTCTTCCTAGTTTTTATCTGATAATGTTTCCTTTTACACCTTAGGCCTCAATGCTCTCTGAAATATCCCTTTGCAGATTCTACAAAAACAGTGTTTTCAAACTGCTCAATGAACAGAAAGAATTAACTCTGCGAGATGAATACACACGTCACATAGCAGTCCCACAGCAAACTACCATCTAGTTTGAATCCTGGGATATTCCCTTTTTCACCATTGGCCTAAATGAGGTCCCAAATGTCCATTTGGAGAATGGAGAAAAATAGTGTTTCCCAACTGCTGAATCCAAAGAAATGTTTAACTCTGTGAGATAAATGCACACATCACAAAGCAGTTTCTTAGAAAGCTTCTTTCTAGTTTGTATCTGAAGGTGTATGCTTTTTCACCATAGGCCTCAATGCTCTCTGAAATATCCCTTTGCAGATTCTACAAAACAAGTGTTTCCAAACTTCTGAATTCAAAGAAAGGTTTAACTCTGAGATGAATCCACACATAACAAAGAAGTTTCTCAGAAAAATTCTTTCTAGTTTTTATCTGGAGATATTTCCTATTTCACCATACTCTCCAAAGTATCCCTTTGCAGATTCTACAAAAAAGAGTGTTTCCAAACTGCTAAACCCAAAGAAATGGTTAACATTGTGAGATGAATGCACACATCACAAAGCAGTTTCTCAGAAATTTTCTTTCTACTTTTTATAGGAAGATGTTTCCTTTTTCAATGTTGGACTAAATGCTCTTTAAAATATCCCCTTGCAGATTCTAAAGGTCAGTGTTTACAAATTGCTGAATGAAACAAAAGTTTAACTCTGTGAGATGAATTCACACATCAGACAGAAGTTTCTCAGAGAGCTTCCTTTAAGTTTTTACCCTGGGATATTCACTTTTTTGCCATTGGCGTCAATGAACTCCCAAATATCCATTCAGGGAAGGGACAAAAACAGTCTTTCCAAACTACTGAATCCAAAGAAAGGTAACTCTCTCAGATGAATGCACACCTCACAGAGCAGTTTCTCAGAAAGCTTCTTTCTAGTTTTTATCTGAAAATGTTTCCTCTTTTACCATATTCTTCAATACTCTCCAAAATATCCCTTTGCAGACTCTACAGAAACAGTTTTCAAAAATGCTGAATGAAAAGAAAGTATTATCTCTTTGAGATGAATGCACACATCACAAAGCTGTTTCTCAGATAGCTACCTTCTTGTTTTTTCCTGGGATATTCGCTTTTTCAACTTTACCAACTATGACCTCCCAAACGTCCATTTGCAGAATGGACAAAAATACTTTTTCCAAACTCTGAATGAAAACGATGGTTTAACTCTGTGAGTTGAATCCACACATCACAAAGCAGTTTCCCAGAAAGCTTCTTTCTAATTTTATCTGAAGATGTTTCCTTTTGCACCATAGACCTCAATGATCTCCAAAATATCTCTTTGCAGATTTGACAAAAAAGTGTTTCCAAACTGCAGAATGAAAAGTAAGTTTCAATTCTGCAAGACGAATGTGGACATCACATAGCAGTTTCTCAGATAGCTTCCATCTACTTTTTATCCTGGGATATTCACTCTTTTGCCATTGGCTTCATAGAGCACCAAAATGTCCATTCGCAGAGTGGACAAAAACTGTATTTCCAAACTACTGAATCCAAAGACATATTTAATTCTGTGAGATAAATGCACACATAACCAACCAGATTCTCAGAAATCTTCTTTCTAGTTTTTATCTGAAGACGTTTCCTGTTTCATCACAGGCCACATTGCTATATGAAATATCACTTTGCAGATTCTACAAAAAGAGTGTTTCCAAACTGACGAATGAAAAGAATTGTTTAACTCTGTGAGATGAATGCACACATCGGAAAACAGTATCTCAGAAAGTTTCTTTCTAGTTTTTAACTGAAGATATTTCCTTTTTCACCATAGGCCTCAATGCTCTCCGAAATATCCCTTTGCAAATTCTTCAAAAACACTGCTTCCAAACAGCTGAATGAAAGGAATGGTTTAACTCTTTGAAATGAATGCTCACATGACACAGCTGTTTCTCAGATAGATTTCTTCTGGTTTTTATTCAGGGGTATTCGCTTTTTCACCATTGGCTCCAAAGAGCTCCAAAATGTCCATTCACAGAATGGGCAAAAACTCTGTTTCCAAACTACTGAATCCAAAAAAAGTGGTAAGTCTGTGAAATGAATGAACACATCACAAAGCAGTTTCTCAGAAACCTTCTTTCTAGTTTTTAACTGAAGATGTTTCCTTTTTCAACACTGGCCTGAACGCTCTCTGAAATATCACTTTGCAGATTCCATGAAAACGCTGCTTCAAACAGCTGAATGAAAAGAATGATTTAACTCCGTTAAGTGAATGCTCACACCACAAAGAGGTTTCTCAGATAGATTCCTTATAGTTTTTATTCAGGGATATTTGCTTTTTAGCCTTTGGGACCAAAGAGCTCTGAAATGTCCATTCTCAGAACGGACAAAAACTGTGTATCCAAACTCCTGAATCCAAAGAAAGCTTTAAGTCTGTGAGATGAATGCAGACATCACAAAGCAGTTTCTCAGAGAACTTCTTTCTCGTTTTTATCTGAAGATGTTTCCTATTTCACCATATGCCTCAATATTCTCTGAAATAACCCTTTGCAGATTCTACAAAAAATGGTGATTCCTAACTGCTGCATGAAAAGAAAGTTTTAATTCTGTGAAATGCATGCTGACATCACAAAGCAGTTTCTCAGGGAGCTACATTGTAGTTTTAATCCTGGCATATCTCCTTTTTTGCCATTGGCCTCAATGAGCTCCCATATGTCCATTCACAGAATGAACAAAAACAGATTTTCCCCACTGCTGAATCCAAAGAAAGTTTTAACTCTGTTACATGAATGGACACATCACAAGGCAGATTCTCAGAAAGCTTCTTTCTAGGTTTTAACTGAAGATGTTTCCTTTTTCACCATAAGCCTCAATGCTCTCCAAAATATCCCTTTGCAGATTCTACAAAAATACTACTACAAACAGCTGAATAAAATGCATGCTTTAACTCTGTGAGATGTATGCTCTCAGGACAAAGCGGTTTCTCAGATAGACTTCTAGTTTTTATTCAGGGATTTTCACTTTTTCACCATTGGACCCAAAGAGCTCCAAAGTGTCCATTCACAGAATAGACAAAAACTGTATTTCCAAACTACTGAATCCAAAGAATGCTTTAACTCTGTGAGATGAATGCACACGGCACAAAGCAGTTTCTTAGAAAGCTTCTTTCTACTTTTTCTCTGAATATGATTCCTTTTTTATCATAGACCTCAATGCTCTCTGAAATATCCCTTTGCAGATTATACAAAAAACGTGTTTCCAAATTGCTGAATGAAAATAATTTAACTCTGTGAGATGAATGAACATATCACAAAGCTGTTTCTCAGATATCTTCCTTGTAGTTTTTAATCCTTCGATATTCCCATTTTCACATTTGGTCTCAAGGCGCCCCCAAATGTCCATTCGCTGAGTTCACAAACACCATGTTTCAAAGCTGCTGAATGCAAAGAAATGTTTAACTCTGTGAGATGAATGCACAAATTACAAATCAGTTTCTCAGAAAGCTTCATTCTAGTTTTTATGTAAAGATGTTTCCTACTTCACCATAAACCTCAATGCTCTCCTAAGTATCCCTTTGCAGATTCCATGACAGCAGTGTTTCCAAAGTGCTGAATGAAAAGGAAGGCTTAACCCTGTAAGATGAATGCACACATCACAAAGCAGTTTCTAAGATAGCTGCCTTCTAGTTTTTATCCTGGGTTATTTCCATTTTCACCATTGGCCTCAAAGAACCCCCAAATGTCCTCTTTCTGAGTGGACAAAAACAGTGTTGCAAAACTGCTGAATCCAAAGAAAGGTTTAACTCTGTGAGATGAATGCACACATCACAACGCAGTTTCTCAGAAAGTTTCTTTCTCGTTTTTATCTGAAGATGTTTTGTTTTTCACCATAGTCCTCAATGCTCTCTGAAATATCAATTTGCAGATTCTACAAAAACATTTTCCCAACTGCTGTTTGAAAAGAAAGCTTTAACTCTAACAGTGAATACATACAACACAAAGCAGTTTCTCTGATAGCTTCCATCTAGTGTTTACCCTGGGGTATTCTATTTTTCACCATTGACATCAATCAACTTCCAAATGTCCACTCACAGAATGGAGAAAAACAGTGTTTTCAAATTGTTGAATCCAAAGAAACGTTTAGCTCTGTGAGATGAATGCACACACCACAAAGCAGTTTCTCAGAAAGCTTCTTTCTAGTTTTTATCTGAAGATGTCTCCTATTTCACGACAGGACTCTATACTCTCTGAAATAACCCTTTGCAGATTCTACAAAAACTGTGTTTCAAAACTGCTGAATTAAAAGAATGGTTTAACTCTGTGAGATGAATTTTCACTTTACAAGCAGTTTCTCAGATAGCCTCCTTCTAGTTTTCATCCTGGGATATTTGCTTTTTTGCCATTGGCCTCAATAACCTCCCAAATGTCCTTTCATAGAATGGACAAAAACAGGGTTTCCAAACTGTTAAATTCAAAGAAAGATTTGAACTCTGTGAGATGAATGCACACATCAAAAAGTAGTTCCTGAGAAACCTTCCTTCTTGTTTTTATCTGAAGATTTTTCCTTTTTCAACATAGACCTCAATGCTCTCCGAAATATCACTTTGCAGATCGTATAAAAAAAGTGGTTCCAAACTGCTGAATGAAATTAACTCTGTGAGATGAATGCACACATCACAAAGAGGTTTCTCAGAAAGCTTCTGTCTAGTTTTTATGGGAAGATATTTCCTTTTTCCACCACAGGCCTCAAAGCTCTCACAAATATCCCTTTGCAGATTCTAGAAAAACAGAGTTTCCAAACTGCTCAATGAAAAGAAACGTTTACCACTGTGAGATGAATGCACACATCACAAAGCAGTTTCGCAGAAAGCTTCTTTCTAGTTTTTACCTGAAGATGTTTCCTTTTTCACTATAGGCCTCAAAGCACTCTGAAATATCTATTTTTAGATTATTCTAAAACCGTGTTTCTGAACTGCTGAATGAAAAGAAAGGTTTAACTCTGTGAGATGTATGCACACATCACAAAGCGATTCCTCAGATAGCTTCCTTCTACTTTTTATCCTTGGATATTCACTTTTTGCCTTTGGCCCTAATGAGTTTCCCAATGTCCACTTGTGGAATGGACAAAAGCAGTGTTTCCAAATTACTGAATTCAAAGAAACTTTTAACTCTATGAGATGAATGCACACATCACAAAGTAGTTTCTAAGAAAGCTTCTTTCTAGTTTTTATGTGAAGATGTTTTCATTTTCACCATAAGCCAAAAACTGTCTGAAATATCCCCTTGAAGAATCCACAGAATCACTGGTTCCAAACTGCTGTGTGAAAAGAAAGCTTTACCTCTTTGAAATGAATGCCCACATCCCAAGGGGTTTCTCAGATAGCTTCCTTATAGATTTTATCTTGGGATATTCAATGTTCTGCCATTGGCCTCAATGAGCTCCCAAATGTCAATTCGCAGAAAGGACAAAAACAGTGATTCCAAACTGCTGAATCCAAAGGATGGTTTAAGTCTGTGAGATAAATGCACACATCACAAAGCAGTTTCTCAGAAAGGTTCTTTCTAGTTTTTATCTGAAGTTGTCTCCTTTTTCACCATAGGCTCAATACTCTCTGAAATATCCCCTTGCAGTTTCTAAAAAAACTCTTTCTACACTGCTGAATGAAAAGAAAAGTTTAACTCTGTGAGATGAATGCACACATCACAAGGCAGTTTCTCAGATACCTTCCTTCTTGTTTTTAGCCTGGGATATTCACTTTTCTGCTTTCTGCCTCAGTGAGATCTGAAATGTCCATTCAGAGAATGGCCAAAAGCAGTGTTTCCAAACTAATGAATCCAAAGAAAGTTTGAAGTCTGTGAGATGAATGCCCACATAACATAGCAGTTTCTCAGGCACCTTCTTTCTAGTTTTTATCCTGGGATATTTACATTTTCATCATTGGCCTATATGAGCTCCCAAATGCCCATGAGGAAAATGGACAAACACACTCTTTCCAAACTGCTGAATCCAAATAAAGATTTATCTCTGTGAAATGAATGAACACATAACAAAGCAATTTTTCAGAAAGCTTCTTTGTAGTTTTTATCTGAAGATGTTTCCTATTTCACCATAGGTCTCAATGCTCTCCAAAATATCCCCTCGCAGATTATACAAAAACTGTGTTTCCAAACTGCTGAATGAAAAGAAAGATTTAACTCTTTGAGACTAATGCACACATCAAAAAACGGTTTCTCAGTTAAATTTCTTAAGATTTTTTCTCGGGATATTTGCTTATTCACCATTGGCCTCTATTAAGTCCCAAATGTCCATTTGCAGAAGGGAGAAAAAAGTGTTTCCAAACTACTGAATGAAAAGAAAGGTTTAACTGTGTAAGATTAATGCATACATGACAAAGCAGTTTCTCAAATAGCTTCCTTCTAGATTTTATCCTGGGATATTTGCTCTTTCACTATTGGCCTTTAATGAACTCCCAAATGTCCCTTTGCAGAATTGAGAAAAACCGTGTTTCCTAATTGCTGAATGCAATGAAAGGATTAAATCCATAAGATTAATGTGCACATCAAAAAGCAGTTTCTCCAAAAGCTTCTTTCTAGTTTTTAACTGAAGATGTATCCTTTTTAACCACAGGCCACAATACTCTCCAAAATATGACTTTGCGGATTCTAAAAAAAAGTGTTTCCAAACTACTGAAAGAAAAGAAAAGTTTAATCTGTGAGATGAATGCACACATGGTGTAGCAGTTTCTCAGATAGCTTCCATCCTTTTTATCCTGGGATATTCGATTTTCTGCCATTGGCCTCAATGGGCTCCAAAATGTCCTTTAGCAGAATGGACAAACACTCTTTCCAAACTACTTAATCCAATAAAAGGGTTTCCAAACTGTTGAATGAAAAGAAAGATTTAACACTGCGAGATGACTGCACACATCAAATAGCAGTTTCTCAGATAGATTCCTGCTACTTTTTATCCTGGGATATTTGCTTTTTCACCATTGGCCTGAATGAGCTCTGAAACGTCCATTCACAGAATGGACAAAAAAAGTGTTTCAAAACTGCTAAATTCAAAGAAAGATTTAACACTGTCAGATTAATGCACACATCACTAAGTAGTTTCTCAGAAAGCTTCTTTCTAGTTTTTATCTGAAGATGTTTCCTATTTCACCGAAGGCCTCAATGCTGTCCAAAATAAACCTTTGCAAATTCTACGTAACAGTGGTTACAAACAGCTGAATAAAAAGAAATGTTTAACTCTGTGAGATGAATGCACACATCACAAAGTGGTTTTTCACATGGCTTCCTTCTAGATTTCTTCCTGGGATAGTCACTTTTTTGCCATTGGGTTCAATGAAGTCTTAAATGTCCATTTGCAGAATGGAGAAAAACATTGTTCCCAAACTGCAGAATTCAAAGAAAAGTTTAACCCTGTGAAATGAATACACACATCACAAGGCAGTTTCTCAGAAAGTTTTTCTTCTAGTTTTTACCTGAAGATTTTACCTTTTTCACAATAGGCCTCAATGCTCTCCAAAATATCCCTTTGAAGATTCTAGAAAAACAGAGTCTCCAAACTGCCTAAAGAAAGAAAGGTTAAACTCTGTGAGATGAATGCACACATGACAAAGCCGCATCTCAGGTAGCTTCCTTCTAGTGTTTATGCTGGGACATTTGCTTTTTCCTCATTGGCCTAAATGAGCTCCAAAATATCCATTTGCAGAATGGACAAAAACACTGTTTCCAAACTCCTGAATACAAAGAATGATTTAACTCTCTGAGATGAAAGCACACATCAGAAAGGGGTTTCCCAGAGAGCTTCTTTCTAGTTTTTAATCTGAAAATATTTTCTGTTTCAACAGAAATCTCAAAGCTCTCCAAAATATCCCTCAGCAGATTCTACAAATCAGTGTTTCCAGACTGCTGAATGAAAAGCAAGGTTTAACTCTGTGAGATGAAAGCACACATCACAAAGCAGTTTCTCTGATAGATTCTATCCTGTAGATAATCTTGCAGATTTTATCCTGGGATATTCACTTTTTCTATATTGGCCTCGATTAAGTCCCAAATGTCCATTCACAGAATGAAGAAAAATATTGTTTCCAAACTCTGTATTCAAAGAAAGTTTTAACTCTGTGAGTTGAATGCACACATCACAAAGCAGTTTCTCAGAAAGCTTCATTCTATTTTTTATCTGAAGATGTTTCCTTTTTCACCTTAGGCCTCAATGATCTCTGAAATATCCCTTTGCAGATTCTACAAAAACAGTGTTTAGATAGTCTTGTAGATTTTATACTGGGATATTCACTTTTTCTGTATTGGCCTCAATGAAATCCCAAATATCCATTCTCAGAATGAAGAAAAACAGTGTTTCCAAACTTTGTATTCAAAGAAAGTTTTAAGTCTGTGGGTTGAATGCACACATCACAAAGCAGTTTCTCAGAAAGCTTTTTTCTGTTTTTTATCTGAAGATGTTTCCTTTTTCACCTTAGGCCTCAATGGTCTTTGAAATATTCCTTTGCAGATTCTACAAAAACAGTGTTTAAAAACGGCTGAATGAGAAGAAAGGTTTAAATCTCCAAGATGAATGCACACATCACACAGCAGTTTCTCAAATAGATTTCGTCTGTTTTTTTCCTGGGATATTCTCTTTTTCACCATTGGCCTCAATGAGCTCCCAAATGTCCACTCAGAGAATGGACTTAACACTCTTTCCAAACTACTGAATCCCAAGAAAGTTTTACCTCTGTTAGATGAATGCACACATCAGAAAGCAGTTTCTCATATAGCTTCCTTCTAGTTTTTATCCTGGGGTAATTTCTTCTTTGCCAAATGCACACTCACAGAATGGACAAAAACACTCTTTCCAACCTACTGAATCCAAAGAAAGTTTTAACTCTGTGAGGTGAATTAACACATCACAAAGCAGTTTCTCTGAAAGCTTCCTTCTAGTTTTTAGCCAAAAATGTTTCCTTTTTAACCATAGGCCTCCATGCTCTGCAAAATATCCCTTTGCAGATTCTAAAAAAACAGTGTTTCCAAATTGCTGAATGAAAAGGAATGTTTAAATCTGTGAGATGAATGCATACATCACAAAGCAGGTTTCTCAGATCCCTTCCTTCTAGTTTTTACTCTTGGGTATTTGCTTTTTTTTGCCAGAGTCCTCAGTGTGCTCCCATATGTCCATTCACATCTTGGACTAAAACAGTGTTTCCAAACTACTGAATCCAAAGAAAGGTTTAAGTCTGTGAGATGAATGCACACATCACAAAGTAGTCTCTCAGAAAATTCTTTCTAGTTTTATCTGAAGATGTTTCCTTTTTCACCTTAGGCCTCAATGCTCTCGAAATATGTGTTTGCAGATTCTACAAAACCAGTGTTTCCAAACAGCTGAATGTAAAGATAAGTATAACTCTGTGAGTTGAATGCACACATCTCAAAGCAGTTTCTCAGAAATCTTCTCCTTGTCTTTATCTGAAGATGTTTCCTTTTTCACCATAGGCCTCAATTCTCTCTGAAATATCCCTTTGCAGATACCACAAAAATGGTGTTGCCAAACTTCTCAGTTAAAAGAAAGGTTTAACTCTGCAAGATTAATGCACCCTTTACATAGCAGTTTCTCAAATAGCTTTCCAGAATATTCACTTTTTCTTGCAATTGGCCTCAAAGAGCTCCCCAATGTCTTTTGCAGAATGGACTAAAACAGTGTTTCCAAACTGCTGAACCTAAAGAAAAGTTTAACACTGTGAGATGAAAGCACATATCACAAAGCAGTTTCTCTGATAACTTCCTTCTCGATTTTACACTGGGATATTCACTTTTTTGCCAGTGTCCTCAAGTGTTCTCAATGAGCTCACAAATGTCCATTCACAGAATGAACAAAAACAGTTTCCAAACTACTGAATCCAAAGAAAGTTTTAAGTCTGTGATATGAATACACTCATGACTATGCACTTTCCCAGAAAGCTTCTTCCTAGTTTTTATCTGAAGATGTTTCCTTTTTCACCATAGGCCACGAAGCTCTCTAAGATATCTTTTTGCAAATTCTACAAAAAGAGTGTCTCCAAACCGCTGAATGAGAAGAAAGGTTTAGTTCTGCAAGATGAATGCACACAAGTTCCTTCCTAGTTTTTATCTGAAGATGTTTCCTTCTTCACAGTACTCCTCAGTGGTCTCTGAAATATCCCTTTGCAGATTCTAAAAAAAACAGTGTTTCCAAACTGCAGCATCCAAAGAAAGATTTATCTCTGAGAGATGAATGCCCAAATCACAAAGAAGTTTCTCAGAAAGCTTCTTTCTTGTTTTTATTTGTAGACGTTTCTTATTTAACCATAGGCCTCATTGCTCTCTTAAATATCCCACTGCAGACTCTAAAAAACAGTGTTTCTAAACCACACAATGAAAAGAAAAATTTAACTCTGTGAGATGAATAGACACATCACATAGCACTTTCTAAGTTAGATTCCTTCTAGTTTTTATCCTGGGATATTCGGTTTTTCACCATTGGCTTCAAGCAAATCCCAAATGTCCATTTGTAGAATGGAGAAAAACAGTGTTTCCACACTGCTGAATCCATAGAAGTGTTTAACTCTGTGAGATGAATGCACACATCACACAGCAGTTTCTCAGAAGGCTTCTTTCTAGCTTTTATCTGAAGTTGTTTCCTTTTTCACCAGAGGCCTCAGTGCTCTTATAACCATCCTTTTGAAGATTCTACAACCAGTGTTTCCAAACTGCTGAATGGAAAGAAAGGTTTAATTCTGTGAGATGAATGCACACATCACAAAACGGTTTCTCAGAGAGCTTCCCTCTAGTTTCCATCCTCAGATGTTCACTTTTTTACCACTGGCCTCAATGAGCTCCAAAATGTCCATTCACAGAATGGGCAAAAACGGTGTTTTTAAGCTAGTGAATCCAAAGAAAACTTTAAGTCTTTGTGATGAATGGACATATCACAAGGCAGTTTCTCAGAAAGTTCTTTCCAGTTTTTATCTGAAGATGCTTCCTTTTTCACCATAGATCTCCACGCTCTCTGAAATATCCCTTTGCAGATTTCACAAAAACAGTGCTTCCAAACTGCTGAATGAAAAGAAAGTTTTAACTCTGTGAGTTGAATGGACACATCACAAAGCGGTTTCTCAGATAGCTTCTTTCTAGTTTTTATCACAGGATATTAGCTTTTTCATCACTGGACTCAAAGAACTCCCAAATGTCCATTTGCAGAATGGACAAAAAATAGTGTTTCCAAAGTGCTGAATCCAAATAAAGGTTTAACTCTGTGCAATGAATGCACCCATCAAAAAGAAGGTTCTCAGTAAGCTTCTTTCTAATTTTTATCAGAAGATGTTTGCTATTTCAACATAGACCTCAATGATCTCCAAAATATCCCTTTGCAGATTCTGTAAAAACAGTGTTTCCAAACTGCTGAATGAAGAGTCATTTTATTCTGCAAGATGAATGTACATATCACTTAGGAGTTTCTCAGATAGCTTCCTTCTAGTTTTTATTCTGGGATATTCAGTTTTTTCACCTTTGGCCTCCAAGTACTCCCAAATGTCTATTCACAGAATGGACATAAACAGTGTTTCCAAACTGCTAAATCTAAAGAAAGGATTAACTCTGTGGATGAATACACACATCACAGAGAAGTTTCTCAGAAACCTCTTAATGGTTTTTATCTGAAGATGTTTCCTTTTTCACAATAGGCATCAATGCTCTCCAAAATATCCCTTTGCAGATTCTACAAAAACAGTGTTTCCAAACTGCTGAATGAATAGAAGGTTTTAACTCTGTGACACGAATGTACACATCAAATAACAGTTTCTCAGATAGCTCGCTTCTAGTTTTCATCCTGGGATATTCTATTTTTTGCCATTGTCCCTAATGAGCTCCAAAATGTCCATGGATGTAATGGACAAAAACAGTGTTTCTAAACTGCTGAATAAAAACAAAGGTTTAACTCTCTGAGATAAATGTACATATCACAAAGCAGTCTCTCAGAAAGTTTCTTTATAGTTTTTATCAGAAGATGATTTTATTTCACCTTAGTCCTCAATGCTCTCCAAAATATCCCTTTGAAGATTCTACGAAAACACTCTTTCCAAACTACTGAATCCAAAGAAAGGTTTTACTCTGTGAGATGAATGCACACATCACAAAGCAGTTTCTCAGAAAATTTCTTTGTAGTTTTTATGTGTAGATGTTTTCTTTTTCACCATAGGCCTCAAGGCTCACCGAAATATCTTTTTTCAGATTCTACATATCCGTGTTTCCAAACTACTGAAAGAAAAGAGAGGTTTAACTCTGTGAGATGAATGCACACATCTCAAAGCAGTTTCTCACAATGTTTCTTTATAGTTTGTACCTGAAGATGTTACCTTTTTCACCACAGGCCTCAATCTTCTCTGAAATATCCCTTTGCGAATTCTAAAAAAAGAGTGTTTAAAAACTGCTGAAAGAAAAGAAAGTTTTAACTCTGTGAGATGAATGCACACATCACATAGCAGTTTCCTGGAAAGCTTCTTTCTAGTTTTCATCCTGGAACATTTGCTTTTTCGCCAATGACCTCAATGACCTCCCAAATATCCATTCACAGAATGGAAAAAAAAAAAAAACTCTTTCCAAACTACTGAATCCAAAGAAAGGTTTAACTATGTGAGATGAATGCACACATCACATAGCAGTTTCTCAGAAAGCTCCTTGCTAGTTTTTATCTGAAGGTGTTTCCTTTCTCACCATAGGCCACAATGCTCTCTGAATATCCTTTGCAGATCCTATAAAAACAGTTTCCAAACTGCTGAATCCAAACAAACGTTTAATTCTATGAGATGAATGCACACATTACAAAGCAGTTTCTCAGAATGTTTATTTCTTGTTTTTATCTGAAGATGATTTCTTTTTCACCTTAGGCCTTAATTCTCTCTGAAATATCCATTTGCACATTCTACAAAAACAATGGTTCCAAACTGCTGAATGCAAAGAAAGGTTTAACTCTGTGAGATGAATGCACACATCATTTAGAAGTTTCTCAGATAGCATCCATCCGTTTTTATCCAGGGATATTCACTTTTTCACCATTGGTCTCAATGTGCTCCCAAATGTCCATTCACAGAATGGACATAACACTCTTTCTAAACTACTGAATCCCAAGAAAGTTTTAGCTCTTTTAGATGAAGGCACACACCACAAAGCAGTTTCTCAGAATGCTGCTTTCTAGTTTTTTTCTGAAGATGTTTCCTTTTTCACCATAGACTTCAATTCTCTCTGAAATATAACTTTGTTGATTCTTAAAATAACATGTTTCCAAACTGCTGAAAGAACAGAAAGGTTCAGCTCAGTGTGAGGAATGCCCACATCACAAGGTGGTTTCTCAGAATGCTTCTTTCAAGTTTTTCTGAAGATGTTTCCTTTTACACATATGCCTCAATGCTCTCCGAAATATCCCTTTGTAAATTCTTAAAAAAATCCGTGTTACTAAACGGCTGAATGAGAAGAAAGGATTAATTCTGTTAGATGAATACACACATCACAAAGCAGTTTCTCAGATAGCTTCCTTCTAGTTTTTACCTTGGAATATTCGCTCTTTAACCATTGGCCACAATGAGCTCCCAAATGTCAATTTTCAGAATGGACAAAAACAATGTTTCCATACTACTGAATTGAAAGAAAGTTTTACCTCTGTGACATGAATGCACACATAACACAGCAGTTTATCAGAAAGCTTCTTTCTGGTTTTTATCTGAGGATGTTTCCTTTTTCACCATAGGCCTCAATGCTCTCTGAAATATCCCTTTGTAGATTCTACAAAAACAGTGTTTCCAAACAGCTGAATGTAAACAAAGGTTTGACTCTGTGAGATGAATGCACACATCACAAAGCAGTTTCTCAGAAAGCGTCCTTCTAGTTTTTATCTGAGGGTGTTTCCATTTTCACCATAAGCCTCAATGCTCTCTGAAATATCCCTTTGCAGATTCTACAAAAACAGTGTTTCCAAACTGCTGAATGAAAAGAAAAGTTTAACTCTGTGAGATGAATAGAGAGATCACATAGCCGTTTCTCTGTTAGCTTCTATCTTGTTTTTATCCTGGGATATTCCCTCTTTTGCCATTGGCCCCAAAGAGCTCCGAAATGTCCATTTGCAGAATAGAAAAAAAATTGTTTCCAAACCACTGAATCTGAAGAAAGTTTTAAGTCAGTGAGATGAATGCACACATCACAAAGCAATTTCTCAGAAAGCTTCTTTCTAGTTTTTATCTGCTGATGTTTCCTTTTTCACCATAGATCTCAAATCTCTCTGAAATATCTCTTCACAGATTCTAAAAAAACAGTGATTCCAAACTGCTGAAAGAAAAGAAAGGTATAACTCAGTGAGATGAATGCACGCACATGCATCATAAAGCAGTTTCTCAGTTTCTCAGATAGAGTCCTTCTTGTTTTTATCCTGGGATATTCACTCTTTTGCCATTGGGCCCAATGAGCTCCCACAAGTCCATTCACAGAATGGAACAAAGCAGTGTATCCAAACTACTGAATCCAAAGAACAGTTAAAATCTGTGAGATGAATGCACACATCACAAAGGAGGTTCTCAGAAAGCTTCTTTCCTGTTTTTATCTGAAGCTGTTTCCATTTTCACCATAGGCCTCAATGCTCTCTGAAATATACCTTTCCAGATTCTACAAAAACACTGTTTCCAAACTGCTGTGTGAAAAGAAAGCTTTAACTCAGTCAGATGAATGCACACATCACACAGCAGTTTCTCAGATAGCATCCTTCTAGTGTTTATAAAGTGATATTCACTTTTTCACATTTTGCCTCAATTACCTCCCAAATATCCATTTGTAGAATGCACAAAAACAGTGTTTCCAAACTGCTGAATCCAAAGAAAATTTTAACTCTACGTGATGAATGCAAACATCACATAGCAGTTTCTCAGATATCTTCCACCTAGTTCTTTCCTGGGATATTTGCTTTTTCACCATTGGCCTCAATCAGCTCCAAAATGTCAATTCACAGAATGAACAAAAACACTCATTGCAAACTACTGAATCCAAAGAAAGCTTTAAGTCTGTCAGATGAACAAACACATCACAAAGCAGTTTCTCAGAAATCTTATTTCTATTTTTTATCTATAGATATTTCCTTTTTCACCATAGACCTCAATGCTCTCCAAAATATCTCTTTGCAGATTATCCAAAAAAATCATTTCCAAACTGCTGAATGAAAAGAAAGACTTACCTCTGGGAGTAAATGTGCACATCACAAATTAGTTTCTCAGATAGCTTCCTTCTAGTTTGTATCCTGGGATATTCACTTCTTCTCCATTGGTCTCAACAAGCTCCGAAATGTCCTTTCACAGAATGGACAAAAACAGTGTTTCCAAACTGCTGAATCCAAACAAAGGTATAACTCTGTGAGATGAATGCATGCATCACAAAGTAGTTTCTCAGAAACCTTCTTTCCTGTTTTTATCTGCAGATGTTTCATTTTTCACCATAGGCCTAAATGCTTTCTGAAGTATCCCTTTGCAGAGTCTGAAAACAGAGTATTTCCAAACTGCTGAATGAAAAGAAAGGTTTAACTCTGTGAGATGAATGAACACATCAATAAGCAGTTTCTCAGATAGCTTCCATCTAGTTTTTATCCTGGGATAATTGCTTTTTCACCATTGGCCTCAAAGAACTCCCAAATGTCCATTTGCAGATTGGACAGAAACAGTTTCCAACTGGCTGAATCCAAAGAAATGTTTAACTTTTTTAGATTAATGTACACATCACAAAGCAGTTTCTCAGAAAACTTCTTTCTAGTTTTTATATGAAGATGTTTCCTTTTTCACCATAGTCCTCAATGCACACTATAATATCACTTTGAAGATTCTACAAAAACAGTGTTTACAAACAGCTCCATGAAAAGAAAGGTTTATCTCTGAGGGATGAATGCAAATATCACAAAGCTGTTTCTGAGATAGCTTTCTTGTAGTTTTTATCCTTGGACACTTGCTTTTTTGCCATTGGCCTCAATGAGCTACAAAATGTGCAATTGTAGAATGGACAAAAACAGTGTTTCCCAACTGCTGAATCCAAAGAAAAGTTTAACTCTGTAAGATGATTGCACACATCATAAAGCAGTTTCTTAGAAAGCTTCTTTCTAATTTTTATGTGACGATGTTTCCTTTTTCACCTTAGGCCTCAATGCTCTCCACAATATCCCTTTGCAGATTCTAAACAAACAGGGTTTCCAAACTGATGAGTGAAAAGGAAACTTTAGCTCTGTGAGATGAATGCACATGTTGCAAAGTGATTTCTCAGATAGCTTCCTTCTGGTTTTCATCCTCAGACATTTTCTGTTCTGCAATTGGCCTAAATGATCTCCCAAATGTCCGTTTGCAGAATAGACAATAACAGTGTTTCCAAACTGCTGAATCCAAAATTAACTCTGTGAGATGAATGCATATTTCACAAAGCACTTTCTCAGAAAGCTTCTTTCTAGTTATTATCTGAAGATGTTTCCTTTTACACCACAAGACTCAATGCTCTCCCAAATATGCCTTAGCAGATTCAACAAAAACAGTCCTCCCTAACTGCTGAAAGAAAAGAAAGGTTTAACTCTGAGAAATGAATGCACACATAGCTGTGTGGTTTCCTACTTAGCTTCCTTCTAGTTTTTACCCTAGGGTAATTTGCTTTTTCTCCATTGCCCTCATTGAGCTACCAAATGACAATTCACACAATGGACAAAAAGAGTGTTTCCATATAGCCGAATTAAAAGAAAGATTTAACTCTGTGAGATGAATGCACACATCACAAAGTAGTTTCTCAGAAAGCTTCTTTCTAGTTTTTATCTGAGGGTGTTTCCATTGTCAATATAGGCCACAAAGTGCTCCAATATCTCCCTTCAGAGAGTCTACAAAAGCAATATTTACAAACAGCTGCATGAAAAGAAACGTTTTTCTATGAGGGATGAATGCACACATCACAAAGCAGTTTCTGAGACTGCTCCCTTGTAGCTTTTATCCTGGGACATTTGCATTTTCAACATTGGCCTCAACGAGCTCCCAAATGTCCATTCGCAGAATGGATAAAAACAGTGTTTCCAAACTTCTGAATCCAGAGAAAGGTTTAATACTCTGAGATGAAGGCACACATCACAAAGCAGTTTCTCAGAAAGAATCTTTCTATTTTTTATCTGAAGATGTTTCTTTTTTCATGATAGGCCTCAATGCTCTCCAAAATATCCCTTTGCAGATTATTCAAAAATAGTGTTTACAAACTGCTGAATGAAAAGAAAGGTTTAACTCTGCGAGGTGAATGCGCACATACTAAAGGCTTTTCTCAGATAGCTTCCTTCTAGGTTTTATCCTGGGATATTTGCTTGTTCGCCTTTGGCCCCGATGAGCTCCCTAATGTCCATTCACAGAACGGAAAAAAACAATATTTCTAAAGTGCAGAATTCAAGGAAAACATTGTGAGATGAATGCAGGCATCACATAGCAGTTTCTCAGAAAGCTTCTTTGTAGTTTTTACCTGAAGATGCTTCCTTTTCCACCATAGGCCTCAATGCTCTCTGAAATATCCCTTTAAATATTCTACAAAAAGCGTTTTCAAACTTCTGAATGAAAAACTTTCATCTCTGAAAGATGAATGCACACCTTACAATGCAGTTCCTCACATAACCTCTTTCTCATTTTTATTGTTGGGTAATTCACTTTTCTGCCATTGACCCCAATGAGCTACAAAATGTCCATTCACAAAAGGGACAAAAACAGTGTTCCAAACAGCTGAAATCAAAGAAAGGTTTGAATCTTTGAGTTGAATGCACACATCACAGAATCACAGAGCAGTTTCTCACAAAGCCTCCGTCTAGTTTTTATCTGAAGATGTTTCCTTTTTCACCATAGGCCTCAATGCACATAGAAATATCCTTTTGCAGATTCTACAAAAACTGAGTTCCCAAATGCAGATTCTACAAAAACCGAGCTCCCAAACTGCTGAATGAACAGAAAAGTTTAACTCTGTGAGATGAATGCACACCTCACAAAGTGGTTTCTCTTATAGCGTCATTCTAGTTTTTAGACTGGGATATTTGCTTTTTTGCCATTGGCCTCAGTGAGCTCCAAAATGTCCATTCACAGAATGGACAAAAACAGTGCTTCCAAACTGTGGAATCCAAAGAAAAGTTGAACTCTGTGAGATAAATGCACATATGAAAAAGCAGTTTCTCAGAAAGCTTCCTTCTAATTTTTATCTGAAGATGTTTCCTTTTTCACCTTAGGTCTCAATGCTCTCCAGAATATCCCGTTGCAGAACCTACAAAAACACTGTTTCCAAACAGCTGAATGAAAAGAAAGAAAGCTCTGATTCCATGAGACGAATGCACACATCACAAAGCAGTTTCTCAGATAGCTTCCTTCTAGTTTTTATCCTGAGATACTCACTTTTTCGCCATTAGCCTCAATGAGCTGGGAAATGTCCATTCGCAGAATGGACAAAAGCAGTGTTTCCAAACTGCTGAATCCAAAGAAAGGCTTAAGTCTGTGAGACGAATGCACACATCACAAAGCAGTTTCTCAGAAAGATTCTAGTTTTTAGCTGAAGGTGTTTCCTTTTTCACCATAGGCCTCAATTCATTCCGAAATATCCCTTTGCATATTCTATAAAAACAGTGTTTCCAAACTGCTGAATCCAAAGAAAGTTTTAACTCTGTGAGATGAAGGCACAGAGCCCAAAGTCGTTTCTCAGAAAGCTTCTTTCTAGTTTTTATCTGAAGATGATTCCTTTTTCAATATAGGCCTCAATGCTCTCTGAATTATCCCTTTGCAGATCCTACAAAAACAATGTTTCCAAACTGCTGAATGAAAAGAAAGGTTTAACTCTGTGTGATGAATGCACACCTCACAAAGAGTTTTCTCAGATAGCTTCCTTCTAATTTTTATCCTGGTAAATTCCCTTTTTTGCCATTGGCCTCAATGAGCTCCCAAATGTCTCTTCGCAGAATGGTCAAAAACAGTGTTTCCAAACTGCTGTATCTAAAGAAAGTTTTAACTCTGTGAGATGAATGCACACATCACAAAGCAGTTTCTCAGAAAGCCTCTTTCTAGTTTTTATCTGACGATGTTTCATACTTCACCATAGGCCTCAATGCTCTCTGAAATATCTCTTTGCAGATTCTGCAAAAGGAGTGTTTCAATACTGGAGAATGAAAAGAAAGGTTTAACTCTGTGAGATGAATGCGCATATCACAAAGCAGTTTCTCATATAGCTTCCTTCTAGTTTTTATCCTGGGATATTCACTATTTCTCCATTGCCTTTAATGCACAAAGCTAATGGACAATTGGGAACTCATTGAGGCCAAAGGCAAAAAAGTGAATATCCAAGAATAAAACCTAGAAGGAAGCTATCTGAGAAACTGCTTTGTGCTGTGTGCATTCATCTCACAGAGTTAAACATTTCTGTTCATTCAGCAGTTGGGAAAAACTGATTCTGTACATTCTGCAAATGGATATTTCGGAGCTCACTGTGACGAATAGTTAAAAAGTGAATATCCCAAGATAAACACTAGAAAGAAGCTTTCTGAGAAACTGCCTTGTTCTGTGTGCATTCCTCTCACAGGTTTAAACCTTTAAGTTGATTCAGCAGTTTGGAAACACTGTTTTTGTCCATTCTTTGAATGGACATTTAGGAGTTCATCGAGGCCAATGGTGAAAATATGAATATCCCAATATAAAAACTAGAAGAAAGCTATCTCAGAAACTGCTTTGTGCTGTTTGCATTCTTCTCACAGAGTTAAAACTTTCTTTTGCTTCAGCAGTTTGGAAACACTGTTTTTGCGTAATCTGTGAAAGGACATTTGGGAGTGCATTTGGGCCTATGGTAAAAAAGAAAATACCTTCAAATGTAAACTATAAAGGGGCTTTCTGAGAAACTAGTTTGTTTTGTGTGCATTCACCTCACAGAAGTAAAACTTTCTTTTGATTCAGCAGTTTAGAAACAATATTTTTGTACAATCTCTGAATTGCCATTTTGTACCTCATTGAGGCCAAAGGTGAAAAAGTGAATATCCCAAGATAAAAACTAGAAGGAAGCTATCTGAAAAACCACTTTGTGATATATGCCTTCTTCTCACAGAATAAACCTTTCTTTTGATTCAGAAGTTTCAAAACTCTGTTTTTGTAGAATTTGCAAAAGGACATTTGGGAGTGTATTGAGGGCTACGGTGAAAAAGAAAATGTATTCAGATAAAAACTGGAAAGAAGCTTTCTGAGAAACTGCTCTGTGATGTGTGCATTCACCTCACAGAGTTAAACCTTTCTTTCAACTCAGTATTTTGGAAACACTGTTCTTTGACATTCTACAAATGGACATTTGATAGCTCATTGAGGGCAACAATGACAAAGCAAATATCTGAAGAGAAAAACTAGAAGGAAGCTATCTGAGAGGCTGCTTTGTGATGTATGCATTCATCTCACAGATTTAAAAGTCTCTGTTGATTCAGCAGTTTGGAAACACTGCCTTTGCACATTCTGCAAATGGACATTCATAGCTCATTGAGGCTAATGATGAAAAAGCCAATATCCCAAGATCAAAACAGGGAGATATCTGAGAAACAGCTTCATGGTGTGTGCATTCTTCTCACAGATTTAATCCTTTCTTATGATTCAGCAGTTTGGAAACACTGCTTATGTACGTTCTGTGAATGGATATTTCAGAGCTCATTGTGGCCAGTGGTGAAAAAGCGAATATCTCCCCCACCAAAAAAAAAAAAATAAAATACTAGAAGGAAGCTATCTGAGAACCCATTTCTTTTTGTGTGCATTTATCTCTCAGAGTTAATCCTTTCTTTTTTTCAGCAGTGTTTAAACAGGGTTTTTGTAGAATCCGTGAAAGGACGTTTGGGAGCACATTGAAGCCTCTGGTGAAAAAGAAAATATCATCAGATAAAAACAAGAAAGAAGCTTTCTGAGAAACTGCTTTGTGATGTGTGCATTCTTAAATGGGCTCCCAAATGTCCTTTTACAGACTTTCCAAATAGTTTCTAACGTTTTGGATCAAAAGAAAGGTTTATCTCTGTGAGATGAATCTACACATCACAAAGCAGTTTCACAGATAGCTTTTCTCTAGTTTTTTTTCTGGAGACATTCGGTTTTTCTCCATAGACCTCAAAGGGCTCCCAAATGTCACTTTACAGACTCTACAAAAAGAGTGTTTCAAACATTCTGAATGAAAAGAAAGGATTAGCTCTGTGAGATGAATCCACACATCAGAAAGCAGTTTCACAGATTGCCACATTCTAGTTTTTCTCTGGAAATATTCGAGTTTTCCCCGTACGCCTCAATTAGATCCCAAATGTTCTTTTGTAGATTCTCCAAAAAGAATGTTTCCAATCTGCTGAAACAAAAGAATGTTTTAATTTTGTGAGATGAACTGACACATCACAAAGCACTTTCACAGATAGCGTCTTTCTAGATTTTATCTGCGGATAATCTTTTTGCCCCAGAGGTCTCATTGGGCTCTGAAATATCACTTCTCAGATTTTCCGAAACGAGTGTTTCCAGCCTGCTGAATCAAAAGAAAGGTTTAACTCTGTGAGATGAATCCACATATCACAAAGCTGTTTCACAAATAGCTTCTTTCTCGTTTTTTCCTGGGCATATTCAGTTTTTCTCATTAGGCCTATATAGACTCCCAAATGTCCATTTGCAGATTCTGCAAAAACAGTGTTTGCAAACCGCTGAATCAAAACAAAGCTTTAACTCTGTGAAGTGAATCCATACACCCAAAAAAATAGTTTCACAGATACCTTACTTATAGTTTTTATCTCTGGATATTCAGTATTACCCCATAAACCCCAATATGCTCCCAACTGTCCCTACACAGATTCTCCTAAAAGATTTTTTTCAACCTGCTGAATCAGAAGAAAGTTTGAACACTCCACACACCACAAAGCAGTTTCACAGACAGCTTCTTTCCAGTTTTTATCTGGGGATAGTTAGTTCTTCCCCATAGGACTCAAAGGGTTCCAAAATGTCCATTCTCAGATTCTTCAAAAAGAGTGTTTCCAACCTTCTGTATCAAAAGACATGTTTAACTCTGTGAGATGCACCCAAACAATGAAAAGCAGTTGCACAGATAGCTTCTTTCTAGTTTTTATTTTGGATTATTTATTTTTACCCATAGGCCACAATGGGCTCCCAAGTGTCCCTTCTCAGATTCTCTAAAAAGAGTGTTTCCGTCCTGCTGAGTCAAAAGAAAGGTTTAATTCTGTGAGATGAGTCCACACATCACAAAGCAGTTTCTCAGAGAGCTTCTTTCTAGTTTTTATCTGTAGATATTCAGTTTTCATTTGCATACCTAAATGGGCTCCCAAATGTCCATTCACAAATTCTACAAAAAGAGTATTTCTAACCTGCTGAATCAAAAGAAAGTTTTAATTCCATGAGATGAATCTGCATGGCACAAAGCAGCTTTACAGATTGACACTTTCTAATTTTTATGTAGGGATATTCTGTTTCTCTCCAATTGGCTCCCAAATGTCCCTCCAAAAACAGTGTTTCCAACCTCCTGAATCAAAAGAGAGGTTTGTCTCTCTCAGATGAATCCACACATCACAAAGAAGTTTCATAGATTTCTTCTTTCTAGTTTTTATGAGGAAACTCGGGTTTTCCCCATAGGTCACATTCGGCTCCCAGATGTCATTTTACAGATGCTGCAATTAGAGTGTTTCCAACCAGCTGAATCAAATGAAAGGTTTAACTCTGTTAGATGAATCCACACATCACAAAGCAGTTTACCAGATAGCTTCTTTTCAGTTTTTATCTGTGGATTTTCTCTTTCCTTCATAGGACTTAAGGGACCTAAAAGTGTCCCTTTGCAGATTCTACAAAAAGAGTGTTTCAACTCTTCTGGATAACAATAAAGAGTTAACTCTCTGAGATGAATCCACACATCACAATGTAGTTTCACAGATAGCTTATTTTTAGTTTTTATCTGTGGATATTTGTTTTTTTCCCCATAGGCCTCAATAGGCTCCAAAATGTCCCTTCACAGGTTCTACAGAAAGAGTGTTTAAAATCCAATGAATCAAAAAACGTTTTAACTCTGTGAGATGAATCCACAAATCACAAAGCAGTTTTACAAATAGCTTCTTTCTCGTTCTTATCTGGGGTTATTCTGTTTTTCTGAATAGGCCTGAAAGAGCTCCCAAATGTCTCTTTGCATATTCTCCAATAAGAGTGTTTCCAACATGCTGCATCAGGAGAAAGGTTCAACATGGTGAAATGAATCCACCCATCACAAAGCAGTTTCACAGGTTCCTTGTTTCCAGTTTTTATCTGGGGATATTCCTTTTTTTCCCCATAGGCTTTAATGGGCTCCAAAATGTCCCTTTGCAGATTCTCCAGAAAGAGTTTTTCCAACTTGCTGAATCAAAAGAAATGCTTAACTCTGTGAGATGCCCTCATGTATCACAAAGCAGTTTCACAGATACTTTCTTTCTAGTTTTTATCTGGGGATATTGTCATTTTCCCAATAGGCATCAATGAGCTCACAAATGTCCCTTTGCATATTCCATGAAAAGAGTGTTTCCAACCTGCTAGATCAAAATAAAAGTTTAACTTTGTTGGATGAATCCACACAACTGAAAGCAGTTTCACAGATAATTTCTTTCTGGTTTTCATCTGAGGATATTTGGTTTTTCCCCATAGGCCTCATTGGGCTCCAAATTGTCCCTTCACCGATACCACAAAAAGAATGTTTCCAACTTGCTGAATCAAAACAAATGTTTAACTCTTTGAGATGAATTTCAAATCACAAAGCAGTTTCACAGATACCTTCTCTCTATTTTTTATATGGGGATATTCAATTTTTCCCCATAGGCTTCAATGGGCTCAAAAAATGTCCCTTTGCAGAGTCTCCAAAAACAGTGCTTCCAGTATGCTGAGTCAAACGAAAGTGTTACGTCTGTGAGATGAACCCACACATCACAAAGCAGTTTCACATATAGCTTCTTTCTAGTTTTTATACAAGGATACTCAATTTTTCCCCATAGGCCTCAAGGGGCTCAAAAATGTCTCTTTGCAGAGTCTCCAAAAGGAGTGTTTCCAACATGCTGAATCAAAATAAGATTTACCTCTGTGAGATGAATCCACACATCACAAAGCTGTTTCACAGATAACTTCTTTCTAGTTTTTCTCTGTAGATATTTAGTTTTTCCCCATAGGCCTCAATTGACTCCCAAATGTCCCTTCCCAGATTCTCCACAAAGAGTTTTTCTAACTTGCTGAATCAAAAGAGAGGCTTAACTCTGTGGGATGCACCCACATACCACAAAGCAGTTTCACAGATAGCTTCTTTCTAAGTTTAATCTGGTGATATTGGCATTTCCCCGATAGGTAACAATGGGCTCTGAAATGTCCCTTCCCAGTTCCTCCAAAAAGAGTTTTTCCAACTTGCTGAATCAAAAGAAAGGCTTAACTCTTTTGGACGAATCCACACAACGCAAAGCAGTTTCCCAGATAGCTTCTTTCTAGTTTTTAATCTGTGGATATTCAATTTTTCCCCATAGGCTTCAATGGGCTCACAAATGTTCTTTTGCAGAGTTTCCAAAAGGAGTGCTTCCAATCTGCTGAGTCAAACGAAAGTTTTACCCCTGTGAGATGAATCCACACATCACAAAGCAGTTTCACAGATAGCTTCTTTCTAGTTTTTATACAAGGATATTCAATTTTTCCCCATAGGCCTCAATGGCTCAGAAATGTCCCTTTGCAAAGCCTCCAAAAGGAGTGTTTCCAATAAGCTAAATCAAATGAAAAATTTACCTCTGTGAGATGAATCCACATATCACAAAGCATTTCACGGATAACTTCTTTCTAGTTTTCTCTGTGGATATTCTGTTTATCCCCATAGGCCTCAATGGACTCCCAAATGTCCCTTCCCAGAATCTCCACAAAGAGTGTTTCCAACCAGCTGAATCAAAAGAAATGTTTAACTCTGTGATAAGTGTCCAAACTTCACAAAGCTGATTCACAGATAGCTTCTTTCTAGCTTTTATCTGGTGATAATCTGTTTTTCCCTGTAGGCCTCAAGGGCTCCAAAAGGTCACTTCACAGATTCAACAAAAGTGTTTCCAACCTGCTGGATCAAATAAAATGTTTAACTCTGTGAGATGAATCCACACATCAAAAAGCAATTTCACAGATAGCTTGTTTCTAGTTTTTATCTCGAGATATTCAGTTTCTCCCCATAGGCCTCTATAAACTCCCAAATGACCCTTGGGAGATTCTACAAAAGAGTGTTTCCCACATGCTGAATCAAAAGAAAGACTGAACTCCGTTAGATGAATCTGCACATCACAAAGCAATTTCAAAGATAGCATCTTTTTAGTTTTTATCTTCTTTATTCTCTTTTTCCCCATACATGCAAATGCTCTAAAAATTGTCCCTTCCCAGATATTCCAAAAAGGGTGTTGTCCACCTACTTAATCAACAGGCAGGATTAACTTTGTGAGATGAATTCACACATCACAAAGCAGTTTCACAGATATCTTCTTTCCAGTTTCTATATTAGGATATTGGATTTTTCCCCATATACCTCAATGGGCTCCCAAATGTCCCTTCACAGATTCTACAAAAAGATTGTTTCCAACCTGCTAGATTAAAAGAAAAATTTAAAAGATGAATCCACCCACCACAAATTTCTTTCACAGATAGCTTATTTCTGGATTTCATCTGGGCAGAATCAGTTTTGCCCCATAGGCATCAATGGGCTCCCAAATGTCCCTTTACTGATTTCCTAAAAGAATGTTTCCAAGCTGCTCAGTTAAAAGGAAGATTTGACCCTGTGAGATGAATCCATACATGACAAAGGTGTTTCACAGATAACTTCTTTCTAGTGTTTATTTGAGGATATTCAGTCTTTCCCAAAAGGCCTTGATGGGTTCCCAAATTTTCCTTCACAGATTCTACAAAAAAACGTATTTTCAATCTGCTGAATCAAAAAACATGTTTAACTCTGTGAGATGAATGCACACATCATGAAACAGTTTCTCAGATAGATTTTTTCTAGTTTTTTTTTCTGGGGATATTTGATTTTTCCCCTTAGGCCTCAATGGGCTTCCAAATGTTCGTCTGCAGATTCTCCAGTTAGAGCATTTCCAACCTGCTCAATCAAAAGAATGTTTTAATTCTGTGTGATGAATCCACATGTCACAAAGCCATTTCACACATAGCTTCTTTCTTGTTTTTATCTTGGGATATTTGGCTTTTCCCCATAGGCCTCAATGTTATCCCAAATATCACTTCATAAATTCTGTAAAAACAGTGCTTCCAATCTGCTGAAACAAAAGAAAGGTTTAACTCTGAGATGGATTTACAAATCACAAAGCAGTTTCACAGATAGCTTCTTTCTAGTTTTTATGAGGAGATATTCAGTTTTTCTCCATAGGCCTCAATGGGCTCCCAAAAGCACCTTCTCAGTTTATCCAAAAACAGTGTTTCCAACCTGCTGGGTCAAAAGAAAGGTTCATCTCTGTGAGATGAATGCACACAACACAAAGCAGTTTAACAGATAGTTTTTTTCTAGTTTTTATCTGGCAATATTTGGTTTTTAGGTAAGCCTCATTAGGCTCCCAAATGTCTCTTTGCAGATTCTACAAAAACAGTGTATCCAACCTGCTTGATCAAAAAAAAATTTAACTCTTTGAGATGAATCCACACATCACAAGGCAGTTTCACAGATAGTTTTTTCTAGTTTTTGTATGGGGATATTCGTTTTTTCCCTTAGGCATCAATGAGCTCCCAAATGTCCCTATGCAGATACTCCAGAAAGAATGTTTCCAATCCGCTGAATCAAAAAAAAAGTTTACCTATGTTAGAGGAATCTACAAGTCACAAGGCAGTTTCACAAATAGCTTCTTCCTAGTTTTTATTTGGGGATATTCTGTTTTTCCCCATAGGCCTTGATGGCCTATGAAATGTCCCTTCACAGGTTCTACAAAAAGAGAATTTCCAACCTCTGTGAGATGAATCCACACATCACAAAGCAGTTTCACAAATAGCTTATTTCTAGTTTTTATCTGGCCATACTCAGTTTTTCCCCATAGGCCTCAATGAGCTCTCAAATCTCCCTTCACATATTCTACAGTAAGAGTGCTTCCAAACTGCTGAATCAAAAAAAGTTCTAACTCTGTGAAATGAATGCACACATCAAAAAGCAGTTTCACAGAAAGCTTCTTTCTAGTTTTTACCTTTGAATATTCGGTTTCTCTGAATAAGCCTCCACAGGCTCACAAATGTCCCTTTTTAGAGTCTCCAAAAAGGGTGTTTCCAACCTGCTGAATCTAAAGAATGGTTTAATTCTATGAGATGAATCCACACTTCAAGAGGTAGTTTCACAGATAGCTTCTTTCTAGTTTATACCTAGGGATATTCAGTTTTCTTTCTTAGGCCTCAGTGGGCTCTAAAATGTCCCTTCACAGAGTCTCCAAAAAGTGTGTTTCCAATCTGTTGAATTAACAGGAAGGTTTAACTCAGTGAGATGAATCCACACATCACAAAGCAGTTTCACAGAAACCTGCTTTCTAGTTTTTTTCTGGGGATATTCTGTTTTTTTCCCATAAACCTCAATGGGCTCCCGAATGTCCCTTCACAGTATCTCCAAAAAGAGCACTTCAAACCTACTAAATCAAATGAAAGGTTTAATACTGTCAGGTGAGTCCAACAACACAAAGCAGTTTTACAGATATCTCCTTTATAGTTTTTATCTTGGGATACTCTGTTTTTCTCCATAAACTCAATGGGATCCCAAATGTTCCTTCGCAGATTCTACAAAAAGAGTGTTTCCATCCTGCTGAATGAAAAGAAAGTTTTAAGTCTGTGAGATGAATCGACACATCACAAAGGAGTTTCACAGATAGCTTCTTCCTAATTTTTATCTGGGGATATTCCATTTTTCCCCATAGGCCTCAATGTGCTCCCAAATATCTGTTTGCAGTTTCTACCAAAAGAGTGTTTCCAAACTACTGTATCTAAAGAAAAGTTTAACTTCGTGAGATGAATCTACAAGTCACAAAGCAGTTTCACAGATAACTTCTTTGTAGTTTTTATTTCGGGATGTTCAGTTTTTCTCCATAGGCCTCAATGGGTTCTCAAATGTCCCTTCGCAGATTCTCCAAAAAGAGTGCTTCCAACCTGCTGATTCAAAGGAAAAGTTTAACTCTGAGAGCTGAATCCAAACACCACAAAGCAGTTTTAGAGGTAGCTTCTTTCTTCCCATTATCTGTGGATTTTTTTTTCTCTCGTAGGTCTCAATGGGCTCCCAAATGTCCCTTCACAGAGTCTACAAAAAGATTGTTTACAACCTGTTGAACAAGAAGAAAAGTTTCACACTGTGAGATGAATCCACATATCACAAATCAGTTCCACAGATAGCTTCATTCTAGTTTCTATCTGGGAATATTTGGTCTTTCCCCATATGCCTCAGTGGGCTCCCAAATGTTTTTTTTGCAGAATCTCCAGAAAGAGTGTTCACAACCCGCTGAATCAGAAGAAAGTTTTAACTCTGTGAGCTGAATCCACACATCACAAAGCTGCTTCAGAGATTACTTCTTTCCAGTTTTAATCTAGGGATATTCAGTTATTCCCCATAGGCCTCAAAGGTTTCACAAGTGTCCCTTTGCAGATTCTCCAAAAACAGTGTTTCCAATGCTGACTAAAAGAAAGATTTAATTCTGTGAGATAAATCCCCATATCACAAAGCAGTTTCACAGATAGCTTCTTTGTGATTTTTACCTAGTGATATTCGGTATTTCCCCATAGGCCTATTTGAGCACCCAAATTTCCCTTTGCAGCTTCTACAAACAGAGTTTTTTCCAACCTGTTGAATCAAGACAAGGGTTTAACTCTCTAATATGTATCCAGCATTCACAAAACACCTTCACAGGTAACTTTCTTAGGCGTCAATTGGCTCTAAAATTTCCCTTTGCAGAGTCTCCAAAAAGTGTGTTTCCAATCTGCTGAATCAACAGGAAGGTTTAACTCTGTGAGATGAATCAAAACATCACAAAGCAGTTTCATGGAAAGATGTTTCTGGTTTTTATATGGGAATATTCCATTTTCCCCATACTCCTTAAGGGACTCCAAAGTGTCCTTTTTCTTATTCTACAAAAAGAGTGTTTCCATCTCGCTGAATCAAAAGAAATTTTAAACTCTGTAAATGAGTTCACACATCACAAAGCACTTTCACAGATAGATTCTTTCTAGTTTTTATATAGGGATATTTGGCTTTTCTCTGTGGACCTCAATGGGCTGCCATGTGTCCCTTTGCAGATTCTCCAATCAGATTGTTTCCAACCTGCTGAATGAAGAGAAAGGTTTACCTATGTGAGATGAATCAACATATCATAAAGCAGATGCACAAATAGTTTCTTTCTCATTTTTATCTGGAGATATTAAGTTTTTCCCCATTGCCCTCAATGGGCTTTCACATTTTTTCACAGGTTCTCCAAAAAGAGTGTTTCCAACCTGTTGACACAAAAGAAATGTTTACCTCTGTGAGTTGAATTTACACATCACCAAGCAGATTCACATATAGCTTTTTTCTACTTTTTTATGGGGTATTCAATTTTTCCCTATTGGACTCAATGTGTTCCCAAATGTCCCTTTGCAGATTCTACAAAAAGAGTGTTGCCAACATGGTGAATCAAAAGAAAGTTTTAACTCTGTGAGATGAATCCACACATTGCAAAGCAGTTTCACAGACGGCTTCTTTCTGGTTTTTATCTGGGGTTATTCAGTTTTTCCCAATAGGCCTGAAAGGGCACTCAAATGTCCACATCTCACAAAGGAGTTTCACAGATAGTTTCTTTTTTAATTATATCTGAAGATATTAAATTTTTCCCCATAAAACCTCAAACAGCTCCCAACTGTCCCTTTGCAGATTCTCAAAAAAGGGTGTTTCAAAACCGCTGAATCAAAAGAAAGTTTCTTTCTGTGAGATGAATCCACACATCACAAAGTTTCACAGATAGCTTATTTCCAGTTTTAATCTGGTGATATTCAGTTTTTCCCCACAGGCCTCAATGAGCTCTCAAATTTGTTTTTCAGAGATTCTCCAAAAAGATTATTTTCAATCTGCTGAATCAAAAGAAAGGTTTAACTCTGTGTATTTCACCCATACATCACAAAGCAGTTTCATAGATAGGTTCTTTCTAGTTTTTATCTGGTAATATTCAGTTTTTCCTTTAGGACCCAAGGGGATCCCAAATATCTGTTGGCAGATTTTGGAAAGAGTTTTTAACCTGCTGAATTAAAAGAAAGGTTTAATTCTATGAAATGAATCCACGCACCACAAAACAGTTTAACTAAAAGCTTCTTTGTAGTTTTTATCTGGGAATATTCGGTTTTTCCACATATGCCCCAATGGGCTCCTTTTTCTTTTTTTTTTTGAGATGGAGTCTCGCTCTGTCACCCAGGCTGGAGTGCAGTGGTGCGATCTCAGCTCACTGCAAGTTCTGCCTCCCAGGTTCACACCATTCTCCTGCCTCAGCCTCCCAAGCAGCTGGGACTATAGGGGCCCATCAACATGCCCAGCTAATTTTTTTTGTATTTTTAGTAGAGACAGGTTTTCACCACATTAGCCAGGATGGTCTTGATCTCCTGATCTCATGATCCCCCTGACTCAGCCTCCCAAATTGCTGGGATTACAGGCATGAGCCACCACACCTGGCCCCCAATTGGCTCCTTTATTTCTCTTCAGAGATTCTCAGAAAAGAGTGTTTCCAACCTGCTTAATAAAAAGATCAGTTTAACTCTGTCAGATGAATCAACACATCATGAAGCAGTTTCACAGATAGCTTCTTTCTAGTTTTTTCTAGGGATAATTTTTTTCAACATAGACCTCAATGGGCTCTGAAATATCCATTACCAGATCCTAGAAAAAGAGTGTTTCAAATCTGTTCAATGAATAGAAAGATGTAACTATGTGAGAAGAATCCACATATCATAAAGCAGATTCACAGATAGCTTCTTTCTAGTTTTTATCTGGAGATATTAGGTTTTTCTTGATAGGCCTCAATGGGATCCCAAATGTCCCTTCATGGATTCTACAAAAAGATTATTTCCAACCTGTTGAATCAAAAGAAAGGTTTAACACTGTAAGATGAATCTACGCATCACAAAGCAGTTTTACAGATAGATTATTTGTGGTTTTTATTTGGGGATATTCGGTTTTTCCCCATAAGCCTCAATCAGCTCAAAAATGTCCCTTCACAAATTCTCCAAAAGAAGCTTTTTCAACCTGCTGAATCAAACAAAAGTTTTAATTCTGTGAGATGAACCACACATCACAAAGCAGTTTCACAGATAAGTTCTTTCTTCTTTTAATATGTGGATATTTGTTTTTTCCCCATAGGCCTCAAAGGGTTCCCAAATGTCCATTCGCAGATACTCCAAAAAAAACTGTTTCCAACCTGCTGAATAAAAGAAAACTTTAATTATTTAAGTTGAATCCACAAATAAAAAAGCAGTTTCACAGGTACTTCTTTCTACGTTTTTTTCTGGGGATATGCTCTATTTCCCCATAAGCCTCAATAAGCTCCAAGATATCCATTCACAGATTCTCAAAAAAGAGTGTTGCCAACATGCTGAATCAAAAGAAAGGTTTAACTTTATGAGACGAATCCACACGTCACAAAGCATTTTCACAGACAGCTTCTTTGTAGTTTATACCTGAGGATATTCCGTTCTTCCCCTTAGGCCTCAATGGGCTCTCAAATGTCCCTTTGCAGATCCTCCAAGAAGAGCGTTTACTACCTGCTGAATCAAAAGAAAGGTTTAACTCTGTCAGATGAATTTACATGTCACAAAGCAGTTTCACAGATAGCTTCTTTCTGGTTTTTATCTGGGGATATTCATTGTTTCCCAATAGGCCCAAATGGACATCCAAATGTCCTTTCACAGATTCTCCAAAAAGAGTATTTCCAACCTGTTGAATCAAAAGAAAACTTTACCTGTGTGAGAAGAATCCACACATCACAAAGCAGTTGCACAGATAGCTTCTTTATTGATTTTATCTGTGGATTTTTTTTCCCCATAGGCTTCAATGAGTTCCCAACTGTCCCTTTGCAGGTTCTACAAAAAGAGCGTTTCCAACCTGTTGAATCAAAAGAAAGGTTTCTTTCTGTGAGATGAATCCACACATAACAAAGCAGTTTCACAGATAGCTCTTTCTAGTTTTCATCTGAGAATATTCAGTGTTTCCCCCAGGCCTCAGTGGGCTCCCAAATGTTTTTTTGCCGATTCTCCAAAAAGAGTGTTTTCAACCTGCTGAATCAAAAGAAAGGCTTAACTCTGTGAATTTAATCCACAAATCACAAAGCATTTTCACAGACAGGTTCTTTCTAGTTTTTATCTGGGAATATTCAGTTTTTCTTTGAAGGCCTCAAGGTAGTCCCAAATACCTGTTAGCTGATTTTGGAAAAAGAGTGTTTTTAACCTGCTGAATCAAAAGAAAGTTTTAACTCGATGAGATGAATCTATAAATCACCAAGCAGTTTCACAGAAAGCTTCTTTTTAGTTTTCATCTGGGAATATTCAGTTTTTCACAAAAGCCTCATTGAGTTCTTATATGTTCCTTTGCAGATTCTCAAAAAGTGTTTTCAACCTCTTAATCAAAAGATAGGTTTAACTCCATGAGATGAGCCCACACATCACAAAGCAATTTCACAAGTAGATTCTTTCTAATTTTTTTCTGAGGATATTTGATTTTTCAACATAGGCTTCAATGGGCTCCCAAATATCCCTTTGCAAATTCTAGAAAAAGAGTGTTTCAAGTCTGTTGAATCAATAGGAAGATTAAACTCTTTGAGAATAATTCACATATCCCAAAGCAGTTTCACACATAGTTTTTTCTAGTTTTTATCTGGGGATATTCAGGTTTTTGATGGGATCCCTAATATCCCTTCACAGATTTTACAAAAAGAGTATTTCCAACCTGGTGAATTAAAAGAAAGTTTTAACCCTGTGAGATGAATCTCCACATCACAAAACAATTTTACAGGTAGGTTATTCATTGTTGTTATTTAGGGATATTCAGTTTTTCTCCATAGGGCTCAATCAGCTCCCAAATGTCCCTTCACGAAGTCTACAAAAACATTGGTTCTTACGTGCTGAATCCAAAGAAAGCTTTACCACTGTGAGATGAATCCACACATCTCAAAGCATTTTCACAGATAGATTCTTTCTTGTTTTAATCTGGGGATATTCACTTTTATCTCATAGGCCAAAAAGGGTTACAAAATGTCTAATTGCAGATACTCCAGAAAGAATGTTTCCAACCTGCTGAAGAAAAGAAAGGTTTAACTATGTAAGTTGAATGCAGACATCAAAAAGCAGTTTAACAGATAGCTTTTTTCTACCTTTTATCTGGGGATATTCAGTTTTTCTTTGTAAGCTTCAATAAGCTCCCAAATGTTTCTTTGCAGGTCCTCCAAAAAGAGAGTTTCCAACCCACTGAATCAAAAGAAAGTTTTAACCCTGAGAGATGAATCTACACTTTACAAAGCAGTTTCACAGATAGCTTCTTTCTAGCTTTTATCTGAGGATATTTTGTTTTTCCCCATGGACGTCAATGGGCTTCAAAATGTGCCTTTGCAGTTTCTCCAAAAAGAGTGTTTCCAATCTGCCAAATCAAAAGAAAGATTTAACAATACAAGATGGATTCGCACATCACAAAGGGTTTTCACAGACAGCTTTTTTGTAGTTTATATTAGGGGATATGTGGTTTTTCCCC